>NC_000015.10:36004146-36307177 GCF_000001405.40 Homo sapiens
TAAGAAGCACGTCAATTGCTGTTTTAAGATAGGTAGTTTGCAAATCATGTGAAAAACATGATCCTAGAGTTGTGGTGGAGTAGACCTTAACTTCCACCCATGAGCAATGTGGTGTGTACTCCTTAGTGGTTTGAAGAAATCTCCTAAAAGGCTCATTTATAACTACTGGGATAGAAATCTCTAGACCTCTCTTAGGAAAGAAGCCATACAGATCTTCCCAATGAGTCAACTGTTAAATTTCTTATTGAAAATGCAGAATGAGGCTTCGAGTGATAGCAAATCTGGTTTAGGAAGGAAAAGATATATCGTCTTCCCCTTACAATACTAGAAACTTCAACGAGTAGAATAAAAAGACCAAGTAGACTATCAGGGATTTTACTGTGAGAAGAGAAGAGATACCTAAAAGTAGAACAAGCTATTTATTTGAATTTTCCTATACCCTTTAAATATCAGCTTTTTCAATGTTACTTTTCAGAGACTATAACCTTTTAAGAAGTGAAAAGTCACCAAAATCCTATACATTATATTGAAGCAGTTTGTCAAAATGTCACCCAGCAGTTGATGCCAATTGCTAACAAGATATTGTGTTTCCTTATTTAATTGGCCGGGTTACCTAATTATGGCTGCCTTTGGATATCTATTAATGGTATCCTTCAAAGGAATAGAAAGCAGCATTTGAGGCAATTTTATATAAATATATGAAAAGGGAGTTAAAGTAAGGGGATATTCCCCAATGAGAATTATTCTTAGATAATAAAATTTACCTGTTTGCATGGGTCCTTAATTTGTAGAAACACCTCCATAACATATCCAAAACAAACCTGGATAACTGCCAATTACCCATGCTGTTATACTGTCCAGAAGTTATCTTGGCATACAGCTCAGTAGAAAATAGGAAGTACCCTGGAAATTACTCATAAAATGTGAATAGCACATGTCAGAGTCGGTGAGCTTTGGATGGACTATAAAGGGTTTTCATTATTTAGGTCTATGAAAGCAAAGGAAACAGAAATATATCCAATAATGTAAGGCAGCGGAACCAGGAAATTTATAAGGCTTAATCTGTGGATTTAATTTAAAATATTGGGCCCTGTTCAAACTGTGACATTAAAAACATTATCCCTGGCTGTGGTAGTGATCACTCAGAGGTCAGGAAAAATAGGATGTCAAACATCCCAAGGTTTTTAGACAAAGGACATTTAATGAATCACTTTCCTTCCAGCTTTCCTTTCTTTCCTCTCATGTGGACATGAAAGACAAAATCTTAACACATTCTGTAATCAATGGAGAGGCTTCCCAGTGCCACTTACCTTAAATACTATATTAATCTTATTTATTACCCCTAGGCTGAAGCTATAGTTAATTAAGTGGGCCTAGGCCAATCCAGTTTAAGAATGCTATCTCTAAAAATTTCCAAATCACAGATAATTAGACAGGATAACGCCAAAACTCACTGCCCTCGATGCTATCACCAAAGTATTGCTCAGCTTTGGGAGAGACAGATAATATCAGAGGGTAGAATAATATTGGGTTCCCTACAGTATTCATTAAGTTTGGAGAAAAAACAGAACTGTCTCAATCTAGAGTTCCTGGAGAGGAAGTCTGGACATGCTTAGCCTGGCTAAGTCCCAGTGACTGTCAGGGCATTCACACCCAGGGCTTGTGGGTGCAGCTGTGCAGTGTGCACTGCTCAACTCCAGAAGCTAAGATGCATATGTGCTGCCACATGAATGGTGCCCTATTGAGCAGAGCAATCCCAGAAACCCAGTTTATTTCACTTCTGAAATATTTGTGGAGCTGAACGCAGAGAGAAAATTAAATGAGGCGAACAAAGCCAGTTAAAATTGTTTAGGGTGTTAAATTAACTATTCTGTAATGAAAATAGCACCTGCCTGGGCATGTCCTGAGAGAGCACAGGCATGACACTGAGGCCTGACACCACTGTACAGCCTAAAATGTCTTCTCTCATCTGGAAGGCATCAGAGACTCTTAAGAGCTCACACTGACTTTTGCCTAAAACTACCTGAAAATGCTAATTGCTACATTGGAGATAGACATTTCACTTAAACTTCTCACTCTTTTCTTATTTTCCCCCATGAGAATGGCTGCATTAAGGGTTCATTGTAAGGAAGAGAGAAACATTATGTAGTTATGCATTTATTTATAAAATAATTCATTAAACCTGAAGTGGTTTAGTGATACTATTATAATGGGATGATCATATATATAATTTTGGTTCTAAAAATGGCGATTTTATTCAACCTAGTTCTTTGAACTTGGCCTGGGTGGAAATGACAATTCTAATTAAAATATGTAGTAAGATTCTGTATGGAATTGCTTCCTTTCTGAGTATGTTGAAAAGTTTATGTGGTGCATTTGATCACTTTCAAATATCTAAATTAATCATAAGAGCAGCTTAAGGAGTAGCTATTAGGGAGAAAGTGTAATATGATAAGATGAAGAATAACAATACAGTTAATCCGGCTAGCCACTAGAATTCCAGCCTCCTGAGGACCCCGGAGGTGTGAATGAAACGAATGCTATGATCATATATATAATTTTGGTTCTAAAAATGCTGACTTTATTCAACCTGGTTCTTTGAATTTGGCCTGGGTGCAAAATGACAATTCTGGGTGTGGGGTCATGTTATGAGCTGAATTGTTCCAACCTCCCACATTAATATGTTGAATCCCTAACCCAGAATGTAACTATATTTGAAGATAGGGCCTTTAAGGAGGTAGTTAAGATTAAATGAGGATATAAAAGCAGGGCCTCAATTCAGTAGTGCTGTTGTCCCTAGAAGAAGATAAACAAATACCCAGCATGTAGGCAAACAGAGGAAAGGCCATGAGAGCACACAGTGAGAAGATGGCCATCTGCAAGTCGAGAAGAGAGGCCTCAAGAGAAACCAAACCTGCCAATACTTTCATCTTAGACTTCTAGCATCAGAACTGTAAGAAAATAAACTTCTGTTATATAAGCCACCCAGTCTGTGGTATTTGTAATGGCAACTCTAGCAGGCTAGGACAAGAGGGGTCCCATGGATAACTCCCATGCACTCACAAATGACCATGTTTTCCTCCTTTAGCCTATACATGATTCTTTATTGTCATAGTCCCAAGGTATGGCTAGTATGCATTTGTGTGGACATTTTATAGCAGCTACTACTCCTGTCTTGTCCTCTGGTGTCCCCACATTGTCTATTTGAATCCCAAACTTTGGAGGCTACTGTGATGACCTGGGCTGTTTCTTTAGCGGTCACTCAGCTGATATGAAAAAAAAAAAAATCTTCTAACTTGTGGGCTACACTTTGTACCAGCCTACAGTGAGGCTTCCTAGTGCTCTCAATTTATTTGTTTGAGATACTCTGAAGATAGCAGTTTTTATTTGTATTTTTTTATTATACCCCACCTTTCCCTTGAAGTATGCTTCCAAAATCTGAATAAAACTGGAATTTTCCAACTGAAGATCCATCTTAGCTTAGTGTTGCAACTAAGCAAAATACCAATCCAAAGTGTAGAAAAATATTGTAAGTCTTATTGAAATTTCCTGATAAAGAAATGAAAACAAAGGAAAATTGCATCACAAAATGTACAAAAAAACTTCATAAGAATCTATTTTATTCACCTGTGTCCCAGAGTTCAATATAGTGTGACAAGTGCCCTGTCCAGAAAAGAGTTAACATAGCAGGCCTGAGACTGCTATCCTTATAAAGGCCTGCATGCAAGGTTGACTGATATCTGTAACCTTGGATTTCAACAGAGTTCTCACCACCGTAATTGATAAGAATTGCTAACTGTGCCTAAACTGTTTGCATAAACCATGAGGTTTACATTGAACACCTGCTTTCCCTCTGGGAGTCTAGAATTTTGTTATGTGCCAGGAAGAGGGTGCCTATGTAACAAGCTACCAGTAAAATCCCTGGACACTGAATGAGCTTCCCTGGTAAATAACATATTGCACATATTATCACAATTTGTTGCTGGAGGACTTGAGTGCAATCTATGTGACTCCACTCAGAGAAAACTCCTGAAAGCTTATACCTGGTTTCCTCCAGACTTGTCCCCATGCACCTTTATTTTTTGCTGATTTTGCTTTGTATCTATTAACCACAAAAAATCATAGCTGTGAGCACAACTGTTTGCTGAGTCTTATGAATCCTCCTAGTAAATCATGGAACCTAGGTGTGGTCTTGGGGATCCCTGGCACATGTTCTAATCACTCTTTTCTCATTTTCCTGTTAAAATTCTAGCTATGCCTTTCCAATTCTACAGGACTTAGAAAATATAAATCAATTATATGAAAATATAAATAGAAAATAGAAAATATGAATCAATTTATATTTGAGATTAGCAAAAATGATAGGGGTATTGAACTCCAAACTATTTTCTTTCACAAAGCAATGACTAAGCTAGCAAAAACTGTCAACATCAATTTTTTTAGGTCTCTGGAATTCAATCAAAAAGTTACCACAACCAGAGAAATGCCTAATAAATAAATAACAGTTTGATTTCAGTAAAAGAGCTCTGTTTTATTTTACTAGGCTTGCTACCATCCTGTACTTCCTAGCTCTGCCTTGAAGATGGCAGATTGCATTGCTACTATAGGTTGCTGATACCAGGAAGTGCAATATGGGATAAACTGAGGGAAATCCATATTGAGCCAAATTTTCAAAAGCCAAAAAAAAAAAAAAAAACTCTTGAAAGCAGAAACAGGAAAAAACAATTTGTCATGTACAAGGACACCACAATAAGATTAACAGCCAATTTCTCATCAGGAAATATGAAAGCTAGAAAGCAGTGGGAGGCTAT
Organism: Homo sapiens; assembly: GCF_000001405.40. Classification (NCBI taxonomy): domain Eukaryota; kingdom Metazoa; phylum Chordata; class Mammalia; order Primates; family Hominidae; genus Homo; species Homo sapiens. The sequence continues at coordinate 36,008,958 of NC_000015.10, forward strand.
ATTAAAATGTAAACCAAGACTCCTATATCTAGGAAAATTACCCCTCAAAAATGAAAGAGATTAAGACATTCCCAGGTAACAAAAGCTGAAGGAGTTCATTGCTATTAGTCCTTGCTAATGAGAAATGCTAAAGGAAGTTCCTCAGACTGAAATGAAAGGACACTAGACAGTGGCCCAATATCATATGAAGAAGTAAATAACAACAGTAAAAGTATACATAGGTAAATATAAAAGCCATTATTATTATATTTTGGATTTGTAATACCTCTTTTTATTTCTATGTGACTTAAAAGATAAATGAATAAAACAATAATTATGAAGCTACATTAATGGGTTCATAGTGTGTAAAAATGTAATTTATTATGGTAACAACATGAGGGTAGAGCACAGATATGTTGGAGTAAAGTTTCTCTATACAGGCATATCTCAAATATACTGCAGGTTTGGTTTCAGACCACTGCAGTGAAGCAAGTATAATAAAGTGAGTTGCGCAAATTTTTTGGTTTTCTGGTGCACGTGAAATTATGCTTACACTCTACTATAGTCAATCAAGTGTACAATAGAAGTATATCTACAAAACAATATGTATACTTAATTTTAAAATACTTTATTGTTAAAAAATGCTAGCAATCAGCTGAGATTTCAGCTAGTTATAATTTTTTGCTGGTTGAGGGTCTTGCCTCAATGTTGATGGCTGCTGACTAATCACTAACCAGGATGGTGGTTGCTGAAGGTTGGGGTGGCCGTGGCAATTTCTTAAAATAAGACAATGATGTTGCTGCATCAGTTGACTCTTCCTTTCATGGAAGATTTCATGAGATGCTGTTTGATAGCATTTTAGCCATAGTAGAACTTTTTTCAAAATCAGAGCCGATCCTCTCAAACCCTGCCACTGCTTTATCAACTAAGTTTATGTAATGTTGTAAATACTTCATTGTCATTTCAATAATGACAACAAAGAATTCATACCATCTTCACTAGGAATAGATTCCACTGAAGAAATTACTTTCTTTGTTCATCCATAAGAAGCAATTCCTGATCCATTCAACTTTTATTATAAGATTGTAGCAGTTCTGTTAAATCCTCAGGCTCTATTTTAATTCTAGTTCTCCTGCTATTTCTATCATCTTCGATTACTTCCTCCACTGAATTCTTGAAGTCCTCAAAGTCATCCATGAAGGTTGTAATCAACTTCTCCTAAACTCCTGTCAATGTTGATATTTTGACCTCCCCCTGTAAATCATAATTTTTTTTTTTTTGAGATGGAGTTTCACTCTTGTCACCCAAGCTGGAGTGCAATGGTGCAATCTTGGCTCACTGCAACCTCCACCTCCCAGGTTCAAGCAATTCTCCTGCCTCAGCCTCCTGAGTAGCTGGGAATTACAGGTGCCTGCCACCACACCTAGCTAATTTTTGTATTTTTAGTAGAGATGGGGTTTCACCATATTGGCTAGGCTGGTCTCGAACTCCTGACCTCAGGTGATCTACCTGCCTTGGCCTCTCAAAGCGCTGGGACTACAGGCATGAGCCTCTGTGCCTAGCCAATTATAACTTTCTTAATGACATCTAGAATGGTGAATCCTTTCCAGAAGGTTTTCAGTTTACTTTGCCCATTTCCATCAGAAAAATCACTATGAATGGCAGCTACAGGCTTATTAAATGTATTTCTTAAATAATAAGACTTCAAAGTAGAAATTACTGCTTTATCCATGGGCTGCAGAATGGATATTGTGTTAGCCAGCATGAAAACAACATTAATCTTCTTGTACATCTCCATCAGAGCTCTTGGGTGACCAGGTGCATTGTCAGTAAACGGTAATATTTTGAAAGGAATCTCTTTTTCTAAACAGTAGGTCTCAGCAGTGGGCTTATAATATTCAGTAAACCATGCTGTAAACAGATGTGCTGTCATCCATGCTTTGTTGTTTCATTTAGGGAGCACAGGCAACATAGATTTTGCATAATTCTTAAGGGCCCTAGGATTTTCAGAATGGTAAACAACATTGGCTTTAACTTAAAGTCACCAGCTGCATTAGTCCCTAATAAGAGAGTCAGCCTGTCCTTTGAATCTTTGAAGCCAGGCATTGACTTCCCCTTGCTAGCTATGAAAGCTTGAGATGACGTCTTCTTCCAATAGAAGGCTGTTTCACCTACACTGAAAATATGTTGTCTAATGTAGCCACTTTCATTAATTATCTTAGCTGGATCTTCCAGATAATTTGCTGTAGCTTCTACATCAGCACTTGCTGCATCCATCTTGCACTTCTGTGTTACAGAGATGGCTTTTTGCCCTAAACCTCATAAACCAACCTTTTCTAACTTCAAACTTTTCCTCTGAAACTTCCCTCTCTCAGCCTCCATAGACTTGAAAAGAGGCCTTGCTGTGGATTAGGCTTTGGCTGAATGGAATATTGTGGCTAGTTTGATCTTCTATCCAGAATACTAAAATTTTCTCCAATACAAGCAATAAGGCTATGTACTTTCTTATTTGTGTATTTACTAGACTAACACTTTTAATTTCCTTCAAGAACTTTTTCTTTGCCTTCAAAACCTGGCTAACTATTTGGCACAAGAAGCCTATCTCAGCTTTCAACATATTTTCCTCACTAAGCCTAATCATTTCTAGGTTTTTGATTTAAAGTGAGAGACATGTGACTCTTCTTTTCATTTGAATACTGAGAGGCTATTGTAGGCTTATTAATTAGCCTAACTTTAATACTGTTCTGTCTTAGCAAATAGGGATGCCTAAGGAGAGGGAGAGAGATGGGGACATTGGCCAGTCAGTGGAGCAGTCAGAACATACACAACATTTATTAAGTTTGCTGTTTTATTTGAGCATGTTTTGTACACCCCAAAACAATTACAATAGTAATATCAATGATCACTGATCACATACCACCATAACAGATATGATAATAATCAAAAAGTTTGAAATATTGTGAGAATTATCAAAATGTGACTCAAACATGAAGTGAGTACATGCTGTTGGAAAATGGCACCAATATATTGCTGGAATTAAGTATTACTTTTCCATTGCACTGTACATAATCTTCATGAACGTCTCTGTTTTGTTTAGTGCTATATCCTCAGTACATGGAGCAGTGTCTGACATAGAGGAAACATTTATAAATTGCGGTCTGACTGATTAAATGAATACATGAATGAATAATTCACTTTCTGGTGAGAGCACACCAGACCTGTTCGTCCACTCATCAGAGTTGATGACAGTACCTCTTAAAATGGGGATTGAGAACCTAGAGACCTAATAGTAACATTCATGAGGAGACCTAGTAGGTTCTGTAGTGAATTAGAGAGAGCATGTATCATCTTGAGGAAACAACTATTCTCCAGCTCAGGATAACTATTACTTTCTGTGTTGAGGGTATGGAGGGTATGGTGTTATCAGATCTTCTGAATTATCAGTCAGATTAGAGAATTGTTTTTATCAGGTCTAGACAGGCCATCAAAATGCACATTTTTGGCCATTATTTGAAGGACAGTATTCCCATAACAGATCTAAAAGTGATTCAATAGTGTTAAGAGTATGCTGAGATAATCTGAAATAAAAATCATATTTCAATATAATATTCCAGTAATTATTTTCCAGAATAGAGACCAGATTTCATCCAATACATCATAAACTTCCACTATTAGATTAAAACCTAAACTGGCTTCTGGCTTCCAAGGCTTAGACTTAGACATTTTCTTAGAAAATTCTTAAATTACATAAGATTCCTGTGCCTAGTTCTGACTTAGCCTGAGGCTCCATGAGGCCCACTGTACTCATATTCAGGTTTGTCAGTGCACCTAAAGTAAGATACAATCAAAGATGATTTGCATAAGCCAAGCCATTTACAGACTGATTTTTAAGTTAAAATTAAAGCCTTTTTTTTTTTTTTTTTGAGATAGAGTCTCGCTCTGTTGCCCAGGCTGGAGCGCAGTGGCGTGATCTTGGCTCACTGCAAACTCTGCCTCCTGGGTTCAAACGATTGTCCTGCCTCAGCCTCCCAAGTAGTTGAGACTACAGGCGTGCACCACCATACCTGGCTAATTTTTGTATTTTTGGTAAAGACAGGGTGCCACCATGTTGGCCAGGTTGGTCTCGAACCCCTGACCTCAGATGATCCGCCTGCCTCTGCCTCCCGAAGTACTAGAATTACAAGCGTGAGCCACTGTGCCCCACCAAAGCCTTTAATAATGAGGAAGACAAACACATACACATGCACATTATGCACACACACACACACACACACACACACACAACTATTAACCAGAATGTTCTTTTTATCCCCCATTTCAGGATCATATATCAGAAGAAGCTAAAAACAATCAATAAGTGATTACAGTGTGTATCAGTCAGGGTCCCAGGAAGAGGGAGATGGCACATAGAAAGTAGAAATCAAAGAGCATGGTGGTTATAAGTCTGTTTAGACAGTTAGGATCAGGATTTAGGGATGATGATGGAATAAAGAAGCATCCAAGAAATTTCAGCACAATAGCATAAAGGCAAGTATTCCCAGTGCTTGGCCTGAAAGGCCAAGGGGAGAGAACTGTTGACTGGAACCTGATGAGAGCTGTAGTCCTAGAAAAGAGGCCACCTGACAGCAGCTGCAGTTGTAGGTAGAGGAAATCAGCCTGACTTCTCCTTCTGCCCTCCAACCTTCTGCTAAGGCATTCCAACCTCTACCACACTGGCCAAGAGCAAGTAAAAGCTTTAGTTAAGGGAGCGCTAACATATAGTCTGAGGAGGGCAGCCTCCTAGGGCACAGAGCAAGGCAGAGAAGGGTGGAGAGTAGCTCTGGACGGGCGAATAGAAACTATTTAGCCCATAGAGTCAGAGCCCGTGGAAATCCTAAGCAATGTTTTATCAATGCTATGGAAGAATGAAGAGATGATTCCTTCCTCAGAAGGCTCCTATCCTCCTAAATTCAGAATCCCTCTCCCTTTGACAGTGCTGACAAAAGTTCATATTCTCCAACTCGTCTTTTTATTTATTATTCTTATTGTTATTATTTGAGATAGGGTCTCACTCTCTCACCCAGGTTAGAGTGCAGTGGCATAATTATAGCATGCTGCAGCCTCAAACTCCTGGGCTCAAGGGATCCTTCTGTCTCTGCCTCCTGTGTAAGCTAGGACTACAGGCACATGCTGCTACTATGCCCAACTATTTTTTTTTTTTATTTTTTGTAGAGATGGGGTCTTGGTGTATTGCTTTGGCTTGAGGCCAGGTCTTGAACTCCTGGCCTCAAACAATTCGCCCACTTTGACCTCCCAAACTCCTGGGATTACAGGGATGAGCCACTATGCCTAGCCTAACTCATCCTTTATGACTTGGTACAAGCCAACTCATTTCTGCTAACAGAATGTGTTTCTTTAGACACATTTTTACCTGAGTGACTCCTTACTGGTTTCCAAAGTCATTCTATTTCTGAGCTAAAGTTGAGATTGGACTCTCCATTATCTCGATCAGGCTTGGGCATTCTTAAGGTTTCTCAGTCACATATCACAGTTCTGAGGTGATTGTCTGCAGAGAGCTGCCATAAACATTTGAATTTTTTCTCATTTCACTCTCAGGTCTCCATGTTCTTACGGGGGAAGTGGAGCCCACTGTAGCTTTTAATATTTTTCTGATGTTATCTGTGGCATTTTTCAAAACCTCCCTTTCTCCCTTTAAAATAACAGGGCACGGCATGATTTTGTCAACAATAGTTTTGATTGAATAAAGAGCAGGTGAATCTTATTCATAAAGCTCCATTCCATGTTTGTGAGAGAGATCTATGGGAGTTAACAGTCCAGTTAGGAAGTTTCCGTTTACAAAGTCACATAAAGCTGAATGTCACTTAAAGAAGTCCAAAGCAAGTGTGAAACGGGGTTAAGTAGATTGGATTTGAGAATAGAAGGCACATATTTGGAAAAAAAGAAGAGAATTTCATTTGCAAAAGAAGCACACAAACTGTATGAATTGGGCAACAAAACTTAACCTGAAAGAGAGTGAAACAACAATTTGGCAAGGCCAAACTAAGTAATTTATATTTGATATTACAACCACCAAGAAGTCCATGGAATAAGGCATTTAAGGAAGCTTTTCTAAAGTTAAAAGCTGTATGATTCTCTATGTTTGGAAGCAAGAGGTGAAGCCAGCTGGACTTCCTGGGTTAAGTGAGGACTTGGAGAACTTTTCTGTCTTACAAGAGGATTGTAAGATGCACCAATCAGCACTCTGTAGCTAGCATTGTAAAATGCACCAATCAGTGCTTTGTAGCTAGCTAGAGGTTTGTAAAATGCACCAATCAGTGCTCTGTAAAATGGACCAATCAGCACCCTGTAAAATGGACCAATCAGCACTCTGTAAAATGGGCCAATCAGCAGGACATGGGCGGGGACAAATAAAGGGATAAAAGTTGGCCACCCCAGCCAGCCCCCCGCAACCCACTTGGGTCACCTTCTACCGTATGGAAGGTTTGTTCTTTCACTCTTCAGAGTAAGTTTTGCTGCTGCTTACTCTTTGTGTCCGTGCCACCTTTAAGAGCTGTAACACTCACTGCGAAGGTCCGTGGCTCCTTTCCTGAAGTCAGCGAGACCACAAACCCGCCGGAGAGAACCAACTCCGGACACAGAAGTATAATGGTAATGGTTGGGGCCTAACTTATGGTGGCCAGTCTGGAGATGGAAAGAAGGTGTGGGTCTTTTTGTAATGTGTAGTGCACAGATGATGTTAAGGATGAGACAATAGAAAATAACTGCATGGGTCCCAGAGCGAACAAAGTTGCTAATGACTTGAAAAAAAAAATGGAAAATTAAGAAAAAAGCACCAAGTTGTAGAGTAGAAAAATTGCCAACTTTAGTTTCTGATTTGTCTGTCCACCTTTAGGTTTTTATAGTTAATCTAAGTGAACTTTTCAGTAGAAAACTGAAGCTTCCTAACCACGCGAGGATATTAAGGCTGAGAGAAGACAAAATAAAACTGGTAAAATGTTTCTTCTGAGTAGATGATTTCCCTAAAGCAAAAAAGAGAAGCAATTCCATAAATATGTTAGAGGAGTTATCAACTCTCATGGCAAAAAGTAATCAGAGAATAGCAGTCGAGAATTAAGGTCAGGAGCATAATATATCAATGATGTCAGGAGTTGAATACAATGTCAAATGGCCAGAAGAAAAAATCGTTGGTTTCCAAACAACAGACTATAAATGTAAGTTCCGTTTCTGAAGACTCTGTTCTGTTTCCTAAACTAAATACAATAATAATATTTACTAAATATGTTGCATACACATAAAAGAGGCCCACCCAATAATTACTTAGCTGATAAATCTGTTATCACAATATTCAATATGGATTTTACATTGCAAAGCCTGTAGCAGTAATCAGATTATCTTGGATTCTGCTAAGTTAATACATTTGCTTTTTCTAAATGAATTAACAATTTTGATATGTTATAATCTGAGGACTATTAATATAATTATTATAAATATGAGGTATATAACTTGGATAATTTTTTCTGCTGTGGTAATTATTTAGAATACCTCATATTTCAGCTTTCGCTAAAGCAATTTTGACTACAATTTGTGTATGTGAAAGTGAGATGTGAGTATATGTGTGCTAGATCATAAAATGGAATATGTTAGGATTTCTCTTATTGGCAAAAAGGTCTTGAAAATAAACAGTTCAGATTCTTTTCCCAGTCTTTTTTCAAAGAATGTTGTTTTGTGTTAAAGGTTTTGATGTGTATGTTCCATAAATAGTAATACAGTTGTAAATGGGTTCAAACTTCATTTGAGAACATCAAAGACCCTATCAGGAAACCAGGAGATGTCAGATTATTATTCAGCCTACTAAATAAACACCCATTGTAAAATACAGTACATTAACTGGAATTGCTACTTCAATGAAAGCAAGTATGGGAAAGTTAATGAGTATCACTGTCTTCAGTATTGAAAATAGTCTAAACGTAGGCTGAAATAAAACTTATTTCTAGTCAGGTTGAATTAAGGGTGGATATATGTACCTAAATATAAGTTATATAATTATGAGGGCAAGCCCAGATACATGCTTCTGAATTTATTAGCTGGCAAATGTCAATCTTCTACTATTCTCAAAAATAGATTTGGAAACGTTAGGGCACAAGCTATTAAGGAAGGAGAGCATCACATAAAATATTATTTTTCCCGTATTTTCTACAGTTTAACGTATAGCTACAATTCTTTGCCTAAAGTCATGTATTCTGTTTGACAGATATTTCAATTCTTTGTTACATATTTATTAGATTGATTTTTTTTCTTTTTCTTTTGTAAATTCAAGATAAAACACAAAAAATTGTCATCTGGAAGACTAAGAGGATAATTATTTTTATCTTGAAAAGAATGTGTTTTAAATTTTCTAGAATAAAAGTTCATCTATAATGCTCTGTACTCAGATTTTATTGGTATTTTCCACTTTTATTTGTCCTGTCAATAATGAAAGTAGCAATTTTCATTTATAAATTTTTATTTATAAAGCTATCTTTCTGTTAATAATGTATTTTGATATGGGTAGTTGGTAAAGCAATTTGGCAATATATCACGGGCCTTAACAATGTTAATTCTCCTTGACTCTGGAATTCTAATGGAACCAATCCTTGAGCATTCTAAGAAAATAATTTCAACATGCAAATTTATTTACATGCCGATGTTTATTACAGATGTACGGCTGTGAAAAACTCTAGAAATAGCATCAATTGCCAACAATAGGAAAATGATTTAAAAAGCTGGTATATATGGACTTGATATATATTCATTACTCTGAGTTTGAATACTAGGTAATAGATTGGAAATACTATGATTTTGTAATATTAAAATATATAACAATACAAACCAGCATCAAAACTAGTGTCTCTGTAGATATTTCTTAAGTAAATGAATGAATAAGTGGATAAATGGATTGTGGTCATATGTGATACACTATTATTTTTTCTAGGCCCTTCTTCTGTCTGTAGAATTAGAGAAAATAAGCACTAATTTGCTGCATTACAGTTGGGGACAACTACCAAAATAAAATTTGCACAAAAAGATAGGATAGTCAAATACATCACATTTCTTCAGACTCTAATACAATTTTAGAACTAATTGTCATTGTTGATGTAGAATTTTTAAAACATTAATTAAGAAGCTTTAATATACTCCATAATGGACAAAGAGAAAGGCAATCAACAGTAATAATACGATGATGAATTATTTAAAGACACTTTAAAAAATATTTTCCAGGATATTTTCAAAATACATCACTCACACATTTTTGCCTGCAAGTCAGGCAAGTAGTAAAATAAGTATATGTATATATCACCCAGTGACCGACTGAAATAATGTTTCAATTGAAGTCATTTCAGCCTCACAACTGTTCTATGCGTTCTGTAAACACTAGGTTAGATGGATTGTAGAGATCATAGGTATAGAGGTATGATGTTCCCTTACAAATATTCTCCATCAATGACTTTTGTGCTCATGATATTTTTTCTTCAGTTATCTATGCCTGTTAAAAGCTCTGCTCCTTACCAGATGACACTTTTGTTGGCCTGTTGTGAATAACACCTTGTCCAGCTGATTCTCACTCTTCTGTGAGAAACAAGAACACATTTGGAAAACTGTCAAGTAGTCTAGGGATTCAAACAATGCCTGAATATTCTAGATCATATCAATATTATGTCTGAATGGAAATTGAAGTGATGCAGTTTCTACCACTAGTCATTTTTGCTTATTGGCATGTCGATATTCTCTCAGAGCAGCCTCAAGAAATGATTATGCATATGAGTAACCTAGAGCTTCCTTTTTTTTTGCATTATAATTAGAATGACCACATTATTTGTCAACCAAACTAAAATATTTTTGAGTGAAAAATTATTAATAGTTATTTGGGGATAATAAACATAAAATGGGAATGTTGCGGGCAAACAAGGACATTTGGTCGTCTGTATTATAATGATCAATAAGAATATCTTTGTAGAAACTTGTGTTAGCTTGGTTATTTAAAAACTTTTTTGTTGTGCTGATTAAGCTGCAATGAAAATGGAGCCTTAAAGTGTAATCCTTTTCTAAGCATCTCTGTGATCTAATTGCTTATTATTATTATTTGTTGATGTTACTATTATGATTACATAACATGCTCTATGACGGTCCTGAAGTACACTTATAAGCTAATCAAATTGTTCAAATCATGATAATACAATCTCATAGAAATCAAATAAAATATCTTAGAGCTCATCTAGCCTCATCTTTTTATTTTACAGGTAAGAAAAGTAGTATCCAGGAAGGCAAAGTAACTTGACCAGTGCTATACAGTCAGTTAATTTCAGAGCCAGAGATACAGCACAGGTGCCCTAGTTCCCAGTTAACACCTATCAAATTGAACACACTACTTCAATGATTTAATATCTGCTTCTTTCCTTTTAATATGATATTTAAGACAACTGCTTAGAAGTAGGATAGAATAGCATGTAGCACACCAACCTTCTCATTGAGCACCATTAGAAAAGTCATACATTAAAAAAAAACACCACTTTAAAAGCATCAGAGTGCTGCTGAAGCAACAAGGGCAATAAGGAAAAATCTTTACAGAGCAGAGGAACTGTGAAAAGATGAGCTTACCTTCGGTAACCATTTTCCTTTGGGGGCATTTGTTTATTCTAGGGCACAGGGTAAAAAGTTGAGAATCTAGATTTTGTGTGGATTGAGAGCCATTGATGGGGCACAGAGAAATAAGCTCAACTGAGACAAAATTGGAAACTGGAGAGTTGAAGATCACAATGGGAGGAAAAAGATAAGAAATGGGGCCTGATATACAGCTGGTTTCCCCCTCAGGATATTTGCTGCATTCTGAAGCTACAGGGGAAAGGAGCATATGAAACTAAGCAGAACACTTTTAAAACTCAGAGGGGGATTTTAGGGTTTTTTGTTTTGTTTTGTTTTGTTTTGTTTTTTTCAGTCTCACCTTACCGAAGAGACAGTGTTGAGTATAGGAGTCCCTCAGAGGGTGTTCTGATGAACATACCACATTCTAAAATGAAAAACATGTAGATCTATACCCTAAAAACGAGTAAAACTAGAGGGGTGGCCTGAGCTTTACTAAACCTGCAGTCTTGTCTTGGCTCAGTTCAATATTTGATTGGGATTATGGTGAAAAGACTCTACTCTGTTTGCCTAGTAGAAGAAAGTACCCTCTCTGAAAGAAGATACTATCAGCTGGAGTCCCTAGGACTTTTTAGATATACAATATCTACCATTCAGTCAAAAGTAATTAGTCATGCCAAAGAAGAGGGGCATACAACAACAGCAGCAAAAGGCAAAACAACCAGGTGATCCAGGTATTTGAGTTAGCAAAGACTTTAAAATCAACTATTAATGATATATTCAAAAAATAGAGAAAAAGATGGATGAAATAGATATAAAATGGAGGATTTCACCAGAAAATTGAACTATGGAATAGAATTAAATGGAAATTCAAGGATTGAAAAATACAACTGAAACTAAGTACTAAATAGATGGATTTAACAGCAGATTCAACACAGCAGAAGTCGACATTAGAGACTTGGTAGATAGATAAATAGGAAATATCCAAGCTGAAGCACAAAGAGAAGCAATAATGAAAAATAATAAAAGAGCATGAGAGACCTGTAGGACACAGTGAAAAATAACATGATACACTACAAATTGGAGCCCCAGAAAAATAAGAGAATAGGGTGTGAACAATATTTGAAGAAATAATAGCTGAGACATTAAAAAAAATTATTTTTTGATAATTATTTTTTATAAACATTGACATCGGTCTGTATCTATGTGTGAACAAAGCAATAGAGCACACTGCAGGAGATTAACTCTCTATGGACTGCTAAACGATATTATCCCTTCCCATGCCAGAACTTCCTTCCTGAAGTCCGTTGCTGCTTTTGAGAACTGTTCAGGCCATTTCTGCTCGAGTGACCCATGGCAATCCACGCTCACCACTACCTATATCTGGACCCACGTGTGTAAAGGTTGTATCCAGGATGTGATTTCAAAGGTCCAACAAATATCCCTTTCCTCTCAGGGTACTTTAAACATTCACTATCAAACTAACTCACTGGTGAGTTAAAGCACTGTTTCTGAAGGCCCTTCTTAAGAAGCAACAAGAATAACAAGTTAATCTCTCCACATCCAAAAATATCTTAGCCAGTTACATTCTTTTTACTTCTAGATTGACCCATCCTCCCTTCCCTACTCTGCTGTGTTTCCCAGTGTGTTCACAGATTGCAGCAACAGGCTCCTCAGATGAAGACTGTCCACAATATGGCACCAACATAAGCAGCCTCACTTCCCACAAACTCCACACGTCCTCTACGATATGCCAGTTCTATGCCTCTACACGTTCTTTTCTCTCTGTATATAGTGCCTGTGTTAGTCACAGCTATCTGCCAAAATCCATTCTACTTCAGGAATTTATCTCATTTACCACCTTTCTCATGAAGTTTTTTCTTACTGCCTAAATGTAATTTTTCCCTTCTACGTTCTTCTTGAGAAGAAATATGTCATAACAAACATGATCTCTGGAATTATATATGACTCAGTTTGAACCATAGCTCTACCATTTACAAACTGTATGTCTGTAATAAATGCTGTGACAACCAAGGCACAGGGTACCCAGGAAGAGTACCCAACATATCCTTGGGAGGAGACAGGGTCAAAGGTTTCCTGGAGGCTGTGATATTGAAACTGATCATAATAGATCAAATTGGATTTGTCAAGGAAGGGGAGAAATGGAGTGGATATTCATCCGTAAGCTGATTCCTCAGTAAATGTTTAAGGTGATTGTAATGTAGAAAGTAAATGAATTCAGTAACTAGAGAGAATTGTAAACATGTACATGAAACCATTCCACTTTCAAGATTTTATCTAATGAAGGAAAACAGGTAATTTCCTGGGGTACTAGGAGGCATGTGATAAGTACTGCACAATTGGCTAAGACAAAATAAGAACTCAAACACCAGAGGCCCCATCTCTGCCTGGGACTCACTTTTTAGGACAAGCATGGAATGGAGGCATCTGAGCTGAATATTGGAATAAGAATAACTGAATTATGTTTTTTTTTTTAAGATTAGATTGTAAAGTATAAGATAAATAGGAGGGAAAGGGGGAAAAAACACAATTAGGCAGTTATTGGAATAGCTATGGATAAGGGATTTGAAACTGAACTTCTTTGAATTCTTACAACCAGAACTTGGAGTGACTTAAGAACAATGTAGACATTTAGCATGTTAGAAAGGAACACTCTAATCAAGCTAGAGAAAAAAGATAAGAATTAGATTCCTGTGTTGACTTTTCTTCTACATCCCATCCCGTTCATGAATCCAGTGTGTATCCTCCTCTGTCTCGCTCTGTGACCAGTTGGCTGATGCCTAAAGACTGCTCTTGGACTTCTTCTGTCTGGGTTCAACCCATGGGAGATACTGGCGGGAGGAGACTGTGTTTGGGGTATTTCTTCTCTGCTCCCTCTCTGCTTTGTCTCCTCTAGAGATAGCCAACTTCTTCCCTGTCTCCTGCTCTCTCTCTGAGCTTCAGTGATCCCATTTTCTCACTTTCTCCTTTAGCCTCAGGGGTGTTAATGGTTTCTTCTGTTGCTGGTTTCTAAACTCCTCACCATTCTTTAATTGTTCCTTAAATGCTGCCCACACATCCTTTCATAAAAGTCTCTTCCTTTTGAACGATCTATGGAAAATTCTGTTTTGTATTGTGAATCAGACTTACACAATGAAACAGCGACAGATAATCTAAAGAGTTCTAGAAAAGAAACCAAATTATCATCGAATAAATGCTTATTTATTTATTGTTAAACATAACAATACTATTTTTTTCAAGACAAACACCTTAGGCAGTCATCTTGGCCAGCCCTCAATTTTAGGTATAAGGACTGCACCTGAGACTGAAGGAGGCTGATATACCTTACACCTAAAATGAGAGTTGGCCAACATGACTGCTGTCAAGAAGAACAGATCTGGACAAGAGCATGGAGGGCCGGGGGGAAGAGCAGGAGCAGGCATTCAAGGCAAACTTTTGCCTATTTCAGATTTTCCTTCAGTGCCAGCTTTGGCCCTGAGCTTGTGCTGCTGATTTTAGAAGAGACTGTAAGAGGGAAAAGCAGAAACACCCATGAGCCTGTGGTTGTCAGCCCTGGGCATCTGTGGCTGGAGTGATGGGCTCGTGACCACCTGTCTCTCTGGGGATGCATTGCTTGGTTATTCACAAAGCTGAAGATCCTGACTATTTGACAACGCAGCACACAGCCCAACTCCCTTACACCATTGTGATTTCTGGGATGCATCTTTCTTGTCCTGACGATTAGTAACTTATCATTAGGTAGGGACTCAATAGTTCTATAAATTTTCCAAAGTGCCCTGTTTCAGCTTGTTGTATAACCTAGTCATGGCTTTCCTAGTCATACAGCTTGAGGACCTGGTGGCAGTTTTTTGTCTTTATTTAATGCTTGTCTATGTTTCCCACTCTCTGGCTACTTTCTGCACTTGAGAAACCTATTCAGCAATTCAGACTATGATTAGCAAAGGCTCAGGATACTGGTTCCAGTCTTGCTACTGAGAGAGGCCACTTGTACTTCCCAGACCATCTGGGAAGTATAGAAACTCCTGATGGAAGCAGTACAGATTACTCCAAAACACACTGGAATGAGATTACGGGCCCTAGAATCTTCTTCTGGGCAAAGGGTAAATTCCTGCTCAAGGCTTCTCTAATACAAATCTGAAGCTCTGAGCACATCTCATGCTCCCAGGAACCTCTGGAGCTGTCTGTGGGCTCATAATGTAGCCCTAGGAGCAAAAGCTGTCCTGCAGTGACTGAATGAAAAGCACTCATGTATCCTTCATTACCCGGTTCTGCTTCAAACCGGGAATGGACAAGCTGCCCTTGCTTCAAACTCTCTAGTGGCTCTATGGGTGTGGATTTCTTTTTTCATGATCAGCATGATTTGATAAAATCTGAAAACCCCCCATAATGTATGCCAAGCACATTCAGATTCATTTGCATATAAATAATCACAGATGACGCTTTATAAAGATTTCTAAGATGCCTCTTAATAAGCATTTTCAAGCCTCTTTTATTTTTCTGTAAACATTCTCTTTAATCTCAAGCTCTGGAAGGTTTGAATTTGGTTTGAAATGTCAAGCCCAGGAATTTTGAGCAGATTCTGACAGGCCCAAGCTCTCCCAGTCCTACTTCTCATCCGTCAGCGATTGACTCAGAATCCCTCGGCCAGACGGATGAAGAGTCCCAGCTGTCAACTCACGTCTCCTACTGGTACTTTATACTCATTGGCTTTAAAAACAAGAGTGTTTTCATGTTTTAAATGCTCATTTACAAACCGTTTCTCATCTCCTGAGTCTCTGCAATGTTCCCTCTGAGGCCTCGATGCTCCCAGGGGAATTTTCCCTGGTTTAGGAAGAAATAGAAAGAAGTGGGTGGGAAGAACAACTCCCTTCTGATAAGCTGTCCCAGCTGACAAGCCCTTCCCCTCAGACCCATCCACTTAGATCAATGAACATTTCACAGGCTGAGCCAGTTACCTTCATGAAAAGACAAGGCAGTAATGTAGCCACACATACAAAGAGGTACATAACATTAAAAATGCTTCCCACAGATTCCAAGTCAGAAAAAAATGCGAGTTTCCTACCTAATGCAACCCCGTGGAACTACCTTTCTCCTGTCACTCAGTTGCTCTTTAAACCAGTCATTCCTTTTCTTATTTTCTTACGGCCTTTTTGCTAAAACACATCCCATTAGCCTTCTCCTAAGCTATGTCCTCATTTGTTCTCTACATTTTTCTATATTCATATGTTCTCTATATACAAACACAGATCAAGAAATGTGCAACTGAGAAATTTTCCCTTTAGTGATATGTACATTTCAGTGCCTTGTGTGAATATTCATCTGAATTTGAACACATATATTAATACAATTTGAATCAGTTTTTGCAGGATCACTGTTACATTGACCTGCGATACATCCTCTGCCAGAGCTTTCTGCATATTGATCACAAATATATGTTGAATGAATAAATGCAGCATTTAAACATCCTGTTGTCTGATTATTAAAGTATATTTAAAATATTAGCAGACATGTTATTTCAAGTCTCTGAGCAGGCTAAAACAATAATTATTACATTATGTCAGTCAAATGATGATATAACTAACACTCTGTGGTACACAAAATTCTTATATGTACAGGCTATTTCCACATTCAACCTCATTTTTTTTGTCTTGAGATATTGGTTCAGTTTATTTGCAAGCTGTATTAGCCCTAATGCTAAAGGTGTCCAGTCACCTTTTGTTGTTATTTCAGTGATGTAATTGTGAAAGCATTTCCTTCCAAACATCTCCTGCCAAAATATAGAAGAAAATTGATTGAGTTCATTGATTACTACTTTTTCTGGTACATAATAAAATACATACTGAATGTCTCCTCTCTTTTCAACCGTAGTATTTTATTTGGAGTACAGGTCAAAATGCTGTCATAAAGATATTCAAAAATAGAGTGGGGCAAAAACACTAGAAGCCTATTTTCCTCTCAGGTAACAATTCAGAGATGGGCAGTCCAAAGCTGGTGGCTCTGCTTCCTCCATGGAAGGAAGGTAGAGCCCAGACCCTGGTCCTCTCTGCCATCCCCGACATGTGGCTCCCATCTCTGGGCCCAAGGCAGCTGAGCCAGCTCTTGTCATTCCCTGAAGGGGTAATGAGAGAGAGTGGATTGTATATAAGTCAACCTTAAATGGTCACTTCTTGTTCATCACCGTACAAGAATTTAGTAACCAAGTCACCTCTCACCAGAAGGGAGGCTGGGGAATATAGTATCTAGCTGATTTACCATGTCTTGCGAGATTTAGGGGTAAATTGGTGGAGAGTTTCTGTTACTAAAGTAAAGGAGCAAACACACAATGGAAAAAAATCATCAGTGTCTGCCACAACTAGACAAAACCGTATCTGTATCCTGGGTGTATGGGTCCATGATGGGGAAGTGGGATGAGCGGAGGAGGTGACGAAAAGAAATTGTCCTGAGAGGAAGCCAAGGGCAAAACTTTACTCTTGTAGCCTTTACTCCGTAGTCAAAGGGAAGGAACAGTGTGAGGATAACGTGGAATTGGCCACTTTTCTATCTCAGCCCCTATGCACATGAATGTGAGTCACTGGGAAAGAGAAAGGAGACATTTTTCAACAAACACTTTTTCACCCAAAGGCTCTGGGATATGATGGGGAAAGAGCTATGCAGAGTAGTGAGTACAACCTTTTAGCATCTCTAGAAGAGGCAGTATTGTGGAAGCAGTTCCAATGGTAACTATCTGAATGGTGCCAGGACAGTGTAAATAGCATTAGGACCAGTATTGGGTTAGAGCTGGCATTAGCAGACGTGAGGACACACAAGCAGGCTGGAGGACCAACTTCAGTGGATGAGAGGAGTAGGAGATAATGAAAGGCATTGACAGTGAGAAGACACTGTAAGCCCTGCCCCAATCCCCAGAGCCATAGTGTCAGAAGATGGTTGTTTGGAAGGGGTCCTCAGGAGGGAAAGTTGACCTCAACTCTAAATGAGACTACAAAGTTATGTGATGTCATTGGAAAAGTTCATTTTTGAAAACTATACAAACAGTAAAACAAATTTCCCTTTCTGTTTCTCTCCCCACTAAAAATGTTGACATGTGGCATAGTGTCTGCTTATCTTATGCCCAGACATTAGTTTTGTAGATTCAGTAGTCTACGGTGATTAGGTACAGAAAAGTTGAAATAAAACAGCATTTACTGAAATGACTATTTACATTATTTAATGAGCGAGTATAAGATAATCCAAACGGCAAATCCTAAAATACATTCATCAGCAGTTTTTCTCTAAATTAACAAATATAGAACTCAAAATTGTCCTCTTCTAAGATCATTAGAAAAGCCAAACAATATAAAAGCGACTTCCCTCTTTGTATAAAAGGTCCATCGATTTTTGTCTCTCAATACACAGTAACCCTATCTTCAAAGTGACAAAAGAAGCATCTTTGTGTAAATGCTTTGAACTGCATGTAGTGCAGACTTTACATAAGAGTCAAGTTAAAATTCATTCCACGTGTTCTGAAAGTATAGTATTCTACCAGATGAGTTTGGGTGGATGCAGAACAGTTCAGCACATTTGATTTTCCATTGACTTGATGTTTATGTTGGGTGTTCAATTGTTTTAAAGCATGACTAAAGAGTGTAAAATACTATAGAAATTCATGGGTCCAGAAGAATTCTCTGCTCCGCTGAATTCCCTATGCTACATCTATTTGTATTTTCTGGACCTATTTTTTTTTTTTCCAAACCTTTCGAGTGTTTGGGAATTGCAGTGTTTGAGAAAAGTGGTCATCATAAATAACAATTTTCTATTTAAAAACCTTTCTGCAAATAAGGTTTTTTTTTTTTTCCTCTCTCATAAAGGTGGAGAATTCCTTAAAAATTTCAAGAAGAAGAAAGTGAAGAAAGGGTAATTTTCTTCAGGGCAATGAGATGTCTCAGGGATATGTTAGTTGACTTTTATATTTTTATATCTCTCTCTTCATGCCATGGAAGATTACTAAATGTTGACAGAACATGGGGTGGGTAGGAGGGGAGGGAGTAATGTTGTCAATGTGGGATAGATTGTTAGAAGTAATTGGCCTTACTTATGATTTAACTCTAAGGGAAAACGCTGTAGGAAGCTCAAATTTTTATTGCCATGTTTTATTATTTTTATTTAGTATTAGCTTTTCCTTTAAAACATCTGGCCTCCTTCACTTGCCCTGATCTTCTCCACAAGCAAATGAATGCTGCTGATCATGTGGTCATCCCTGGATGAGACTCTCCCTTCCACCTCTCCCTTGACTATGAGGTTGTCACATTATAATTCAAGATTTCTTTCTCTTTCCTTTTTTTTTTTTTTTTTTTGCTGGCAAAACCTGCTTTTCACTTGTATTAAAACTGTCAAAACTGCCCAAAGGGAAAAAGTATATGTTTTCCCCTTGGTACTGAAAAGAGTGAAGAAGCATATTTTGGCAGTTTCAGTGTAGGTGTGAAATTTTTCACACAGCTCTACTAGGGAGGTACACAAGTCTGGCCCTGTTGAATCATCTGATATTTCATGGATGGCATTTTCTTTAAAAGGTATGGCCTAGGGCTAAATTAAAAGATGGGGATTTAAACTAGAAATGATAGCATTCCGTTGAAACAATTGTCAATTACGTGAAAGATACTGTTGCATATTTAGAAAACAAATGGTGCCCCTTTAAATTTTCCCCATGGCAAGTTTTATTGTAAAGTAAAGATCTAGAGTTATACATCAAAAATATATTTTGGCTTACAGAACCCACAACATAACAATGCAAAATATATTAGACTTTGAGGTACTGATTTTACATGAAAGCTTATCAGTTAGTGAAATGCAGAAACCAATGAAGCATCACCATGGCTGGGTAGGAGATCTGTTGATGCAATTTATGTTTACATTTAAACCAGTTACTGGCTTTTCTGCATTTAAAAGGCATGGCATATATTCTTAGAAGTTTTTTTTATTCAATCAAATTGATTGCATTGATTTCATATTCCATATTAAACTACAGTCTTACTTTAGATTTGACACATTTTGATGACCATTAACAAAAGTACCAAAGCTTGGCTAAAATTTATGGACTTTTTTTCCCCTTGAAGATTTGGCTGCCCACACATGAATATAAATATTGATTTCATTTTATACACAATTTATAGACTGGTCTGTTGGTGAGTTTACCCCACATTTGTTTAATAACAGTGGAAACTTACTGAGCTAAAATGTCTACAGTCCGTGCCCTGATTTCATCACTTTTAGAATATCAGGCTAGTAATATATCAGATTCATAGAAAAGAGAACTGTGATTTTTAAATCTAATAATATTCATATAACCAATCCTTTAGACTTAACCAGCAAAGATGTCCCAATACAATGAAGTTTTATTTTAGTGCATTTAGAATACTTAAAAACTCATGATGCATACAAGAACTACTGATTTCTACTCCCAATAGAAAGTATCTGGGATATGCTTTGGATTCACAATCTCTTTTCAGTCCTCAGACATTTAGTAATGTTGATTTTCTTCTCAGATATTGTGTGTCCTTAACTTTAATTTTTATTCTAGAATCAGTTTTAGAGATATGAGGAAACTTCTCTAATGAAGAAATCTCTCCTAATTTATCACTCGTCTTTGCTTAAACATTGTTTTTCTTTTTCAGGAAACACCATTATATTTTATAACCACTCAAACTTTAAAGGTGAATTCTCATGATAAAATGAAATCCCCTTCCCCATGATTTCCACTTAAATTAATTTTCTCTGGGGCCATAGAGAATAAATCCACTCATGATTATAGTTCAGATATTAATGGATGTTTTTCATACTTTCCTTTGGCTCTCATTTCTTCGGGTTTAAAGCCCTCAGTCCCCTTCAGTCCATTGGCAGTAAGTTTGTAATCTCTTACATAGGACATTCATGAACTCTCCCCTTACCTTTTTGAGTTTCATCCCAATGTTTATGTTTCTACCTTAGTAGTCTTTTTAACTACTTTTTAACACATGTATTCTGATCAAGATAAAATTGTAGCGTAGAAATTTGACATTTGCATGAATCACAATTTGGGTTCCCAGAACACCAAGTTTCCAGAACACTGTGTACATATATCCTTTCATCATTGTGCATCTCAGCATTCACCCCATGCAACCATCAAACCAGCAGCCTAAGAAGCAGGCAGGGAATTTCTCAAATGCTCCAAATAGCTGCACATCACTACAGATTATGACTGCTTGGATTTAGGGAACATTTTTTTGGCTGGGGAAACATTCCAATGGGATAGATTAATCTATGTAAACCACATAGCTCAGCTGAAACTGCTGTTCGGCATTCTAAATTGCCAGCTCTGTCGCCTTTCTGCACAAAAATGCACATTTCTTCCTATAATAAAGATATTTTATAATAGCAATAAGGCAACTCCAGGGTATGTGGTTATCATGAGATAATCGTACCCTAGAGGGATTACAGACACTTGGCTGTGCTTCATAACACCCCATGTGTGTGTTTATCTCATGATAACCACACTCGCTTTTGTATCTTATTGCCTAATTATCCTCTTGTAATGCAAAATACTAATTTTTTGTCTGAAACAATACGTGCAAGGATGCATTGCTAACAATCACAGGAGGACATTGACAAACAATGCTGCTATTACTGTAGATTCACTTCCCAGAAGAAAATTGATGTACAAGAAAAAACTTGTAAGAGTGATATGTGACAATTCCAGTCCATCTTTGAATGAGCTGCTTCTTCAAAGAACTATATAGAGGTCTCTGTCTTACCCACTAATGTTATAAGATAAATTACCCAGACATTTTTTCTCTCTTTTACGATAAGATTTTTCATTTATAATTGAAAACTAAAGAATGAGCAGAAATTTCAAGCCTGAAAAAGTAAAGACAGTAACTTCATTTGCTTCCAAAAAGTTAGTGACAGAAATTGATTTTGATTTATTGTTATCTAATTTTAAAAGAATATTTGTATGCTGCTTAGTCACTCCTCTACATATATTTCCCCTGTCGACCTTTCAAGTTGAAAAATATGTATTAAATTTTGTACCTTACAGTAATGTGATTTAAACAAGTTCTTCAATCTCAAATCATTTTACTAATTTTTATGGAGTGGAATTATTGCCTACATAATTATCTCAATTCTGCATAGTAATATTTATTATTTTTATCTTATATTATTATATAACAAAGCCAATTGTGATTATAAGTACAGATTTCCTATGAATCTGATCTCAAAAATGAAGATATTCAAGTTTATTTTCTAATGTTGTATTTGTAGATCTTTAAGTATAGTTAAGTCCCTGCAAAGATCATTAAGGACTTTCTAGTATTTCATTACTTCAATTAAATTATTTCAAGCAAAAATAAAATCTAGTTTTTCAAGACTTTTATGAAAAAATGATATATTATTGAAGTTCATTTTATACATATATCTAGAGAGACACACACCTATATACATACACATAATACATGTGTATATGTATGTGTGTAGGTGTCTCTCTATATAGAGTGCATATACTGTGTGTATATATAGAGAGTGCACATGTATATTCTCATTTTTCTATATTCTCATCAAAATGGCTTGTGAAAAATTATATATTTATATTTATATATATTAATATATATAAAATATTTCACAAGTCATTTCGATGGCTCAAGAAATCTATTCTTTTGTAAGTCCTAAATTATAAAGCTCAGAATTTTCCTGCAACTTGCACCCAAATACCACCTGTATTTTTCATAAATAGTACTTCAGTGCTTGTTTTCACAGACCATGACTATTACTCTCAAGGCCACTCTTTGTATTTTCTTAACCTTACAAACTTAGTTTCCTTTTCCTGGATTCTGCCTTCATAAATATCCTTGGTTCAAATTTGCTTCAATTCAATAAACTGGTCTTTCTGAACTGTCTGGTTATGGGCTGCAAGACGAGCTGTTCTTCTATCCCAGGAGTCCTGTTCCAAGGGTACATTCTTGAACTTTGATTTTAGGAATAGAGTATCCATCTGCATTTACTAACAGAGACTGCACTAAATCTCAATCTATAAACGGCAGGTAGATACAGCAACAATTATTAGTGACTTGTGGGCAGCATTAGGTTGTTATTAAGAACTAAAGGGTAAAAAAAAAAGTACTTTAGAAGTTGCTACTCCACTAACAGGAAAAATGCAATGTTTACTGAAGTCTCAATTATTCTCTGGCAGGTAATTCATGGGAAACACTATTTTCTTGTTTTTAGACACGAGTATATTTTCTTAGAACTGAAAGGCATCTTAGAGCTCATCTATTCCAATCACCTCTTTATATAATCAAGAAAATTTGAGAACACCATCTATTTATTTATCTTTAGGTAAGAGCTGAAAAGGAAGATCCTTTAAATCAATACACATAATTATCTACACCAGAGATGGTGTGAGTCTGAAATTAAGCAAACTTAGCTAAAGTAAACTTTTTTAGACTAATGCTATGTATTATTCAATCCTTTCTTAGTATGCAATTGGGGAACAATACAGAGTAGAATAGCCTGAATAGGTGAAAATATTGTGCAGCATTTCAAACTTTTGAATGCCCTGTATTTTCATTTGACTTGAATAAATTTCTAAATGTAGTTGGAGAACCCTGTTAGAATTCACTAGATATCAAGCAGATACTACGAAGAGCACCACTACTAGAAAACATCTAGATCCTGGATACGCTTGCACAAATACGATTTAATGCATTGCTGAAATCACATGAAAAAAAGGGAAATTTTCTCAGAACGAATACATACATAAAGAAATAAAAAGGAACAGTGACCTGAAAGCAGAGTAAGAGTGGCAAGATGTGAGTAAATAGGAAAGAAAATGCTGCTCTTGGGGTAAATGGGAATGCTAGTCCTGGGACAGGAAAACTATGCCTTAGGCCCATGCTTTTTTTTTTTTTTTTTTTTTTTTTTTTTTTTTTTTTTTTTTTTTTTTTGGTTATGGCAATCCAAGTTGTGGAGAAATTCATAACAAAATGTTTTAAATACTTTGGAAACTAAAAAATACAGTTTAAAGTAACATGGTATAGATAAGAAAACAATGGAATTTGGAGAAAAAACACAATTGAATGATAATTAAGATACTGTAAAACAAACTTTGTACAATGCTGCAAAAGTGACACATTTAAGGGATATTTACAGCCTCAAACTATATTAGAAAAAAATTTTAAAATGATAACTTAAGCACCTAATATAAGAAATTATAAAAGGAACAATGAATACTTAAATATTGTAGATAACCTAAAGCAATAGCCACATTTATGGAAAAATATAACTTCTTATAAATGCCTTGAAAAGGCATTGAAAATGTATATATTATATAGGTATTAGAGTATTTGAAAACCAGGACCAGATGGTTTTACCAGCGAAGTCTAAAACCTTTCAAGGAGCACACCATTTCAATCTTACATAAATTCTGCCAGAGGACATAAAAATAGGGGGCACTACAAGTCATACTATGAGACTAGTATAACTCTGAAATCAAAACCAGAAAAAGGGTATACAAGGTAAGAAAACTCCAAGTCCATTTCATGCATGATTTTATATGCAAAAATTTCTCAAAACACATCCAATTTTAGAAAAAAAGTAACAAATATCAACTTACATTTATTATAGAAATATTCAAGGGTGATTTAATGCCAGGAAACATAACTGTGATTCACCAAATCTGCAGATTAAAGAAGAAAACTCAAATTATTTTCTCAACAGATACAGAAAAATCATTTGATAAAACTGAATATCCACTAATATATTTGTATAAAACAAACACAAATCTCTTATAGCATACTAGGTCTTGAAGGGAGTATTCTTTAACTGATAATCTACCCAACACTGGTATAGACCAATGGAACAGACTACAGAGCCCAGAAATAAGGCCACACATATACAACCATTTGACGTTGGACAAAGCTCACAAAAAACAAGGAGGAAAGGACTCTCTATTTAATAAGTAGTGCTGGGATAACTGGCTAGCCATACGCTGAAGATTGATACTAGACCCCTTCCTTACGCCATATACAAAAATCAACTCAAGATGGATTAAAGACTTAAATTCAAAACTCAAAACTATAAAAACTCTGGGAGACAACCTAGGCAATACCATTTTGGACATAGGAATGGGCAAAGAGTTCATGATGAAGACACCAAAGGCAATTGCAACAAAAGCAAAAACTGACAAATGGGATCTAATTAAACTAAAGAGCTTCTGCACAGCAAAAGAAACTATCAAGAGAATCAACAAATAGCCTGAAGAATGGAAGGAAATATTTGCAAACTATGCATCTGACAAAGGTCTAATAACCCCATTTATAAGGAACCTAAACAAATTTATAAGAAAAAAAACCCATTAAAAAGTGGGCAAAGGAAACGAACAGACACATTTCAAAAGAAGACGTACGTGCAGCCAACAAGCATGTGAAACAAAGTATCACTGATCATTAGAGAAAAATTCGGATCAAAGCCACAGTGACATACCATCTCACACCAGTCAGAATAGCTATTATCAAGGTAAAAAAATAACAGATGCTGGCAAGGTTGCAGAGAAAAGGGAACATTTATAAGCTGTTGGCAGGAATGCAAATTAGTTCAACCATTTTGGAAAACAGTGTGGCAATTCCTCAAAGAGCTAAAAACAAAACTACCACTAGACCCAGAAATCCCATTACTGGATATATACCCAAATAAATATAAATCATTCTGCCATGAAGACACATAAACACCTATGTTCTTTGCAGCCCCATTCACAACAGCAATGACATGGAATCAACATAAATGCACATCAGCGGTAGACTGGATAAAGAAAATGTGGTGAATATATACCGTGGAATACTATGCAGCCATAAAAGAGAATTAGATTACGTCTTTTGCTGGAACATGGATGGAACTGAGGGCCATTATCCTTCACAAACTAATGCAGGAACAGAAAACCAAATACCACATATTCTCACTTGTAAGTGGGAGCTAAATGATGAGAAGGCATAGACACAAAGAGGGGAACAACACACACTGGGGTCTACCTGAGGGTGGAGGATGGGAGGAGAGAGAAGAGCAGAAAAAAAATAACTAATGGGTACTAGGCTTAGTACCTGGGTGATAAAATAATCTGTAAAACAAAGCCCCGTGACACGAATTTACCTATAGAACAAACCTGCACGTGTACTTCTGAACCTAAAATGAAAGGTTTTTTTTAAGTGTCTGCCCAAACACCTACAGCAAACAACATTCTTAATGGTAAAACATTAGAATCATAGCTATTAATATCAGGAAGGAGGTACACTAAAACTAATTGTTGCCAACATTCTTCTAAAGTTTCTAGCCCCTACAATAAAAGGAACAAAACATTTACATGATTTGGAAAGGAAGAAACGTAACTCGTATTTGTTGATAAAATATTTCTCAATATAGACAATCACAAAGAATGTTATGGAACAATATTTGGAAAATTAGATCGATAAGTAAGGTTACTAGACATATAAGATGATACAAACCGTTATATTTGTAAACAATAGCAATAAATGATTTGAAAAATTAAAGTAACAATGTACAATAACAACAAATAGATGATTCCTAAAAATCTAAGAAAAACATGCAAGACTTTTATAAAAAATACACACAGAAAAACAATAAAGAAAATCTCAAAAAGCAATACTATATTCATGGATTAAAAAAACACCCCGAATCACTGAAAAGTTTCAACGCAATTTCGATCCAAACCCCAATGGAAACTTTTAAAGGAACTTAACAAACAGACTCTGAAATGTATAGAAAAGACATAAGGCATAAGAAAAATTAAGCCACTCCTAAAGAATAATAAAATGGGGAGCTTACTCTGCCAGATATCAAAACTCATCACGCAGCTGTGGTTTAAGACAGTATGGTGCCGGTGCAGGGATGGACACAGAGCTCAATGGAATGGAAAAGAACAGCTATAAACAGATACAGGCATCTCTGGAAATTTGATATATGACAAAGGTGGTGTATAGTCCGTGGAAAAATATCATGATACAGATTAAATGCTGCTGAAACAATTGTTAATCCATATAGAAAAATCACTTAGAACCTTACATTATACAATACAAGAAAATAAACTTAAATAGATTATAATTAAATGTGTAAGTCAAGATTTTAAAACTTTTAGATTACAATTTAGGAGAATGTCTTTAAGAACTCAGAATTGGAAAGATTTTCTTTGGCAAGACACACACATGCACATACATTAATCAAAGAAGAATAAATGTTGAGAAATATTATTTTGTAATTTTAAATTTGTTTTATATGAAGAGGCGAAAGAAGATAACAAACTTGAAGAATATGTAATCAGCAAGCAT
This sequence comes from Homo sapiens, assembly GCF_000001405.40. Taxonomy (NCBI): domain Eukaryota; kingdom Metazoa; phylum Chordata; class Mammalia; order Primates; family Hominidae; genus Homo; species Homo sapiens. The sequence continues at coordinate 36,035,915 of NC_000015.10, forward strand.
TAATAACAGAATATCAAAACAGCTACTACAAATTAAAAAAAGAACCTGATAGAAAATATTATGTTTTAGATTGCTAAAACCCATAACCCCTGTCAAATTATGAGAAAAACCCTAGACAAAGAACAATAGAGGAGCTTAGTACAAAATACCTGACCAATACACAAAACTGCCAAGGTCGGCCAGCCATAGTGGCTCACACCTGTAATCCCAGCACTTTGGGAGGCAGATGCAGAAATATTCCTTGAGCACAGGAGTTCGAGACCAGCCTGGGCAACATAGTGAGACCTTATCTCTACTAAAAATCAGAAGAAAAAAAAATAGCTGGGTGTGGTGGCACATGCCTCTGATCCCAGCTACTTGGGAGGCTGAGGTGGGAGGATCACTTGAGCCCGCAGAGTCGAAGCTGGAGTGCAGTGGTGTGATCACAGCTTACTGCTGCAAGACTGTCTCAAAAAACCAAAACAAAACGTGCCAAGGTCATCAAAAACAAGGAAATTTGAGAAAATGTCACAGCCAAGAGGACCCTAAGGAGACATGAGGGCCATACATAATATGGCAGCTTAGATGGGATCCTAGAATGAAAAAAGAACATTAGACTAATGCTAAGGAAATCTAAACAAAATGGAGATTTTATTTAATAATAATGTGTCAAAATTGGTCCAATTGTAACAAATGTACCACATTTTAAAAAAGATGCTAAACTAGGGGAAACTGCAGGATATATGGAAATCTCTGCACTCTCTTCTCAATTTTTCTGTAAATCCTAGCACTTTGGGAGGCTGAGGTAGGCAGATTGCTTGAGCCCAGGAGTTTGAGACTACCTGGGCAACATGGTGAAACCCCATCTCTACAAAAAGAAATACCAAAAAAAATTAGTGTGATGGCGCACGCCTGTAATCCCAGCTCTTTGGGAGGCTGAGGTGGGAGGATTGTTTGAGCCTAGGAGGCCAAGGTTGTGGTGAGCCAAGATCACATCACTGTACTGGGCAGCAGAGTGAGATTCTGTCTCAAAAAAAGATACAGTATATTTTAAAAATGCATATATGTATACACACACACACAATATGTAGATATACACATTATTACATATATAGTATGCATACATACATAATATGCATGTATGCATATATAATATGTGTATATCTAATATGTATGTGTGTATATTCTATATACACACATACGTATATATGCATATGTATATATGCATTTTAGAGAATAGGAAACATTCTCTAAATATGAAAAACTCTCAATCTTTTTGGTAATCAGGGATAACCTAGTGAGATGAGAGACAAATGAAAACTCATATTGTACTGTTGAGAGTGCAAACTAATACAATCACTGTAGAAAATAATTTGGCATTATTTTGTAAATTTAAATACCCTACATCCTATGACCAGCAACTCTATTCCTAGGTATTTAATAAAAACAAAAACAATAATAAGAACAACAACAACAAACTACTGCATATACATATGCAAGAGGTATGCACACAATGTACATAGCAGCATAATTTATAAATGCAAAAAACTAGAACTATGACCATAAGTGAAGAAAATGACAATAAATTGAGGTGTATTCATACACAGAATATCACAAAGTAACAACACTGCAAATACTATAACATGGATTAATTTGTTTTTAACTTTTATTTTTATTTATTTATTTATTTATTTTGAGATGGAGTCTTGCTCTGTCACCCAGGCTGGAGTGCATCTCAGCTCACTGCAACCTCTGCCTCCTCCCGGATTCAAGTGATTCTCGTGCCTCAGCCTCCCGAGTAGCTGGGATTACAGGCACCTGCCACTACACCTGGCTAATTTTTGCGTTTTTAGTAGAGATGGGGTTTCACTGTGTTGGCCAGGCTGATCTCAAACTCCTGGCCTTGAGTGATCCGCCCCCCGTCAGCCTCCCAAAGTGCTGGGATTACAGGCATGAGCCACTGCGCCGGCTGACGTGGATAAATTTTGGAAACATGGCATTGACTTGAAAAGCGACTACATACAGTATGATAATATTTCACAGCTTAAAAGGAAGTGAATATAAGCAGCATTTTCTTTAGGGATGCATACACATGTGACAAAACATCTGAAGGTGAGAAAATGAAAAACACAAAATTCAGAATAGTGTTTTCCTCTGGGAGGAAGCAAAAGATGGAGCAGGAAAGGAATGTTGCAGTAAATGCAAACCTGTGGTTTATACTCTAGATCATAAATGTGGCGGATTTAAAGGTATTCATATTACTATTGTCTCTCAAAACATACATGTATTCTCATATCTGTATTAAACATATTGAATAATAAAAGCATTTAAAACTGAAGAAGACTTCATGCCTGGATGATTGGGATAATTCAGTAAAATTCACCAAAATGAGTAAGTTCAGCGGGAAGATTACATTTAAAGGGGAAATGAAGTTTTCAGACCTGCTGAGCTTCAAGATTATGGCAGAATATGCATCAATCTGACCAACCAACAGCAAATTGGTTGCGGTGATGAAGGGTGTGGGAGGAAACATTTGCCTGGCCTGGTGAACTGGTGGAGGGGTTCCTGGAGCTGAACAGAAGTTGAACCAGTCTTCATCCTGCCTTCTGGTTCAGAGATTACAGCTGTGCCCCCGACTCCATACCCCCTATCTTGTGCCACTTTCTGCGGGATAAACTGACTTGCTTTTTATTGGCCTTGCTTTCCCCCATCCCTTGTGGATAGTAAGAGTTCAACTTTAATTTGTAAGTTTATTTGGATTGCTAAGTGTAATGTACACCTTTCTCAACTGCTGTCTTTCTCTCTCCCATTGTCTTTGTCCTTATGAGCTTGCGATGGTTTTTATTCTCTGTGGTTGATTTGGTGTGGGGTAAAGATAAATTCGTATGTCCAATAGACCATGATTTACTTGGAATGTCTACCAGAAAGTTACCTTTAAATTTTCAGCATCTCCTCTCAGCTGAATATATTGGTTCCCTGAGTCCCAATCTGTGTGTTATAGAAAGCCGTATTCTCTGTGTGTGAATTTCGGCTCCAGCACTTCCTAGCTGCATTGGGTGGGATAAGCAATTGAATCTCTTCACTGCCATTTTCCTATCTACAAAACGAGGCTTTTTATTGTGTACCCCACAAAAGTGTTTGAAGAATGAAATAATGTTAAGTAGAGACCAGGCAGTGGCTCACACCTGTAATCCCAGCACTTTCGGAGGCCAAGGTGGGCAGATCACTTGAGGTCAGGAGGAGTTGGAGACCAGCCTGACCAACATGGTGAAACCCCATCTCTACTAATACTACAAAAATTAGCCGGGTGCGTTGGCAGGCACCTGTAATCCCAGCTACTCGGGAGGCTAAGGCAGGAGAATGGCTTGAACCCAGGAGGCAGAGGTTGCAGTGAGCCAAGATTGTGCCACTGCACTCAAGCCTGGGTGACAGAGCAAGACCCTGTCTCAAAAGAAAGAGAGAGAGAGAGAAAGCAAGAAAGAAAGAAAGTAGAATTCTGGGTTGTGCTGCACATGGGCACCATGTAGCTCTCCTCCCCTGGTAGAATAGTATTAATGCCCACAGTAGGGACTGGATCCTTGACTGTAGCCCAGAAGTATGCTTTTTCTGACTTTCCTAGGTGGCTTTCAGCTAGAGGATGAAGGTCCTTCCCTGACGGTCATTATCGAAGGATTTCCATTTGGGTTGAAACACTGGACTGAGTGATCATTGAAGCATTTTCCTCTTGAAATTCTGATTTCACCTTTTCCTTTCGTTTTTTCCTTCACTTGGAGAGGGTTAGCAGCAGTGTCAGTTAGTGTAACTGAGAAACCTCAATTCAAATAAAACTGGTTACCAATCTATTCTCCCGACCCCCTCTTGGGGACCGCCATAGAACATCCTACTGAATTTGGCACTGTGGCTTGGATGCCCAACAGATTGGTGATCTGATCTCTTCTGTTCTCTAATCTAAACATTATAATCTTAACCCCAGCTCACTGCTTTAGTTTTTTGGGTTTTTTTTGTTTTGTTTTGTTTTGTCTTGTATTTGTAGGGAAAAGGAAGGGGAGAGCTTGGCCAAGGTTTGGTCCAGCCTTCAATGAATATAAAACCTTAGTGAGGAGGCCAGGCTTATAGTGAGAATATAATGCTGGCATTAATCCACTTAGAATTGCACAGTGCTCCCACCCCACTACCTATAATGTGGATTGGTTTAACACCCTTTGTTGGTGTTATTTGACCATTCCCTTCAAATGCTAATGACCAGCTAGTTTAACACCCGTTATTGGTGTTATTCGGACAGTCCCTTCAAATGTGAATGAATAGCTTGCTTTGTTTCCATAGACAGGAGAGCCAAATAACTTCGGGGCCTAGAAGCAAATTATTTCTCTGGTATAGACCCACCCTGAATGATGAATTGGGCTCTATGGTGGCTGTTTCACTGAAGACTGGGATTTCGCTACCCATCACAAACCAGGCCAAAAAGGAGCTAAACCATTTTCTCCTCATTATCACCTCATTAAGCTCCCCAAGCCAGTGCAGGGCTGGGGTAGAGGCCTGCTACAGGTAGCTTAATGAGTTTCTTATTTATAGGCCCCAGTGTTGTTATGCAAAAGCTTGTTATTCCCAGGCCTGGAGTATAGCGTTTTCTAAAGGGAATTGAGAAATGCAATTATCAAGCATCTTAGTATGGGCCTCACACCGCTTTTTGGCCACTTGATCGACGATAAATAAATACATTTGTTAGATTTGTAGAATTTCATATTGTGCTGTGGCATTTACCCCAATTTTGTTGTTTTCTTCTAACAACACAGAACAGATGCTGCCCCAGATGTGAAAGATGCAGATGTTTGACAGCTTTAGGATAACTCTAAGTTCATAGCTGTGCAAGGCATTGTGCAGATTCCTCAGTGTGATTTTGGGGGGGAAATTGCCTTCCCCAAATGTTATTTAAATATTTTTCCTGCTTTATGTGTGACTTGGAGATCATGTGTAACTGAGAAGTGGAAAGCAATCCCGCTTTTAGTTCCCACATACAGATATTAAAAATTGCTGTAATTCATGTACACATATACAAGACTGATCAGTGCTCCACATTTTGAGTTTTCAAAAAATATAATAATTTACTGAAAATGGATACTAAACATAAAGCACTGACTATGCATCCAGCATTGAGTAATGTACTGACAGGACACAAAAAGTTAAACACACAAATCATTGTCATGGATTCCAAGAAATGTTTCATCTCACAAAATCCTAGTAGTCAGAACATAGACATATATAGAGATATACATATGTTTATTTAAGTGTGTGTGTATGGATATGTATGTATGTATATACATTTCTCCATAAAGATGCAGTACATATTAAGGAAGTATATAATAACTTTAAAACAAAATAAATTTGATCAGTAGAGAAGAGGTCAAATAATAGACACAATGCAATGTCTTTGTGAAATGAAAATATAAATAATTACTGGTTTATAATGTCAGGACAAAAACCAAATAAAATGGACCAGATTAAAAATGGAGAGAATCTAGCTTGACTCCTACTACTATAAAAAATTTAGTTAAGCGGATGCAAATAGTTCATATATTTGAATGCCTTTGTTAGGTTATATGGAATATACAGAAATGATTGTTATAAAGATTCTCTTCACCTTGTTTATAAACTAGAAATGAAGGGTAAGGTCGGTACATAAAACAATATAATACTATAATGGAAAATAGCTCCTTAGAGAAGTTAATAAAATGCAATAGAAGTGCTTGGAGAAATTCTTTCAATTTAAAGAATAAAAGAAAGTTAAATGGGTGTGTTAGAATTTGAGTTCAGACTGAATAGCACAGGAAGGTATCAAAAGAGTGGTTGCTTTAAATATATCCATATGAGGCAGACTTACCTATGACAATGTTACTGTCAGGGGCTTCAAAGATAGAGCCTTTCCTTGAAGTTGTATTTTCAATACTGGTCCTCCGTTTTTTGTTGGTTTGGTTGGTTGGTTGTTTTTTGAGACGGAGTCTGGCTCTCTGTCACCCAGGCTGGAGTGCAGTGGTGCAATCTCGGCTCACTGCAAGCTCCGCCTCCAGGGTTCACGCCATTCTCCTGCCTCAGCCTCCCGAGTAGCTGGGACTACAGGTGCCCGCCGCCACACCTGGTTAATTTTTGTTATTTTTAGTAGAGATGGGGTTTCACCATGTTAGCCAGGATGGTCTCGATCTCCTGACCTCGTGATCTGCCCGCCTCAGCCTCCCAACAGTCCTCCCGTTTTCACCTGGGTTTTATGTATTTAGGGGGCAAACTGGCCAGCAGGCAAGGATAAGAAAGTGGTCCAATCTGCCCCTACTCTGTGCTATTTCTGGCACAAAAACTTGTCAAAGGTGTAAGGTAGGGAATTGCAAGTTACAGTCAGAAAATATGGGGTAATTTTTATTGATAAAAACAGATTATATGCATAAGAATAGTAGCAGATATAGATTAAAAAAATAGGTTAGAGAAAGAAGGAATAGGTGAAGATGAGAGAAAAGGTGGATCAATAAAATGAGGTTAGGAATTTGGGGCTTTGTTGTCCAGGTAGTAGGGAGCATATTTTTCTTGTTTGGTTTTCCCAAGCAGAAGGATGGAATGATGAGATGGTTGGTGTAGATGTGGTATGATGGATGGACTAGCAAAGTGAAAGACTAGAAGTAGGGAGATTGGTTAGGGGTCTATTCAGCAGTCCAAGTTAAGGTGAAGAAAATGAATTTGCAGAAAAAGTAGGAGAAGAAAATAAATTCAAGTGATAGTTTAGAGTTAGAACACTAAATTTAACAACTTAGAGTGAGAATACTTTCATAGTGAGAGGTTTGTAAAATTGAGGGCTAAGACTTCCAGCCTAGATAACTAGGTGACTAGCAATAGCATTGGCGGAAACGTGAATGTCTGTGAGAGCTTCTGCTTTTAAATTTGGTAGTGGGAGAGACAATAAAAATTATATTTGGAATGTCACATTTAAAGTTCAGACAACTTTTACAAGAATGTCCAGCAGAAACAGCAAATTTGGAACTGAAGATAATCACTTCCATAGAGTAACTAAATACTAAGATGTTGAAGATTTGCATTTCTCTAATGATCAGTGATGTTGAGCTTTTTTCCATATGTTTGTTGGCAGCATGTATGTCTTCTTTTGAGAAGTGTCTGTTGATGTCCTTTGCCCACTTTTTAGTGGGATTGTTTGTTTTTTTTCTTGTAAATTTGTTTAAGTTCCTTATAGATGCTGGATATTAGACCTTTGTCAGATGGATAGATTGCAAAAATTTTCTTCCATTCTGTAGGTTGTCTGTTTACTCTATTGATAGTTTCTTTGGCTGTGCAGGAGCTCTTTAGTTTAATTAGATTCCATTCACACCAGTCAAAGTGACTATTACTAAAAAGTCAGAAAATAACAGATGCTGGTGAGGTTGTAGAGAAAAAGGAATGCTTTTACACTGTTGGTGGGAGTGTAAATTAGTTTAGCCATTGTGGAAGACAGTGTGGCAATTCCTCAAAGACCTAGAGGCTGAAATACCATTCAACCCAGCAATCCCATTGCTGGGTATATACCCAAAGAAGATAAATTATTCTATTAAAAAGATACATGCACACATATGTTTATTGCAGCACTATTCACAATAGCAAAGACATGGAACCAACCCAAATGCCCATCAATGATAAACTGGATAAAGAAAATGTGGTGCATATACACCATGGAATACTATGCAGCCATAAAAAGGAATAGATCATGTCCTTTGCAGGGACATAGATGAAGCTGGAAGCCATCATCCTCAGCAAACTAACACAGGAACAGAAAACCAAATGCTGTGTGTTCTCACATATAATTGGGAGCTGAATGATGAGAACACATGGACACATTGAGGGAACAACACACACTGGAACCTGTCAGAAGGTCGGGGGAGGGTGGGAGAAGGAAGAACATCAGGAAGAATAGTTACCAGATGCTGGGTTTAATACCTGGGTAATAGGATGATCTGTGAGGCAACCCACCCTGGCATACATTTACCTATGTAACAAACTTGCACATCCTGCACATGTACCCCTGGACTTAAAGTTTGAAAAAACAAAGACATTGTAGAAAGAAAATCAAGACTTGAAAAATCCATTATGTGTATGTTATACGAGAGGAAGAGAAATCTGAGGAGAAAATAAAGAGCAATCAGGGATGCGAGTTGTAAGAGCAAAAGTAGGCTAGTTCAGTTTCGTGAAGTTTGTGTAAGAGAAATGTTCATCCATGCCTGGTGGCTCACGCCTGTAATCCCAGCACTTTGGGAGGCCGAGACGGGCGGATCACCTGAGGTCAGGAGTTCGAGACCAGTCTGGCCAACATGGTGAAACCCTGTCTCTACTAAAAATACAAAAAAATTAGCCAGGCATAGTGGCATATGCCTGTAGTCCTAGCTACTTAAGAGGCTGAGGCAGGAGAATCACTTGAACCCCGGAGAAGGAGGTTGCAGTGAGCCGAGATTGCGCCACTGCACTCCAGGCTGGGTGACAGAGTAAGACTCTGTCTCAAAAAAAAAAAAAAAAAAAAAATATATATATATATATATATATATATATATATATATATATATATATATATATATATAAAAGAAGAAAGAGAAACGTTCAAGAAGAAATGGATGGTAAACTGTGTCAGACATGCTAGAAAAGTCAAGTTCAATAAGTGAGAAAGTGTTACTGGATTTGTTGAATATTAATGACAGCTGAATATTAATCTATAAGAATTTCTAAACTAATGTCAGCAGAATTACCACTGTGTTAACTACAGTGTACCTAATCTTCATGTTGGTTTGAGAGATACTGTCATACCATTTTACAGTTAAGAAAGAAACAGTAATTTTAACTCACATTAAGGTGAATTTTCTATTTTCCAAAACACTGATGACTTCAAAATATTCTCAAAAATGAAATCAACTTTGACTGAAATCATTTCAATTTTCATTGAATAAATTAACATTTTGATTATCACATTACTTAATTACATTTTAATTTGTGCACTATTAAAATATTAAAATAACTATATAGAGATTATAAACATAACTAAAATGATATATTTTGCAAAATCTTATGTAAATATCTGTATTCTCATTTGAACCTCAAAGTGTTAAACTTATTTACCTCCAGGGAATGTCTAAGAGCTCGAATCTTTCTAAATATATGATTTTCACACATAACACCATCTTGAAAACATCTGGACTTCACAGAAACCACAGGGTAACCAATAATCCTTCAAGACCTAAAACAACCACATTCCTATCAGGGTAAAATAACTTAGAAATTTCTAATTTCTAAGAAAATGTTAGATACTTTTGTATCTACAACTAAAATATAAAAATATGTAGGCTTATTTCTAATATGTCTATCTGATCTTTGTATACTTTTGGGGCAAGGTCAGGCAAACATTCTCTCTGAAGATCCAAAAACTTGTTTTTATGCTGTAGCAGAATCTCAGGGAGCATTTGGTGGGCTGACAAAAGAGACAACATTTTGGTATCATGTAGACAGCTGAATATCAGTGGAAATTTAGAAAGGAGAACTGAATTATTTTTGCCTATGCTTTACAATCAGTATCCTAGTACCTCTCAGTAAAAGTGGGATAAGTTTGAATGTTACTCAGCCAATAAACATATTAATGTAAGACAGAAACAAGGAGGGTGAGGAGCCTGTATGATTATGATTAAAAAATCAACACAAGGAAGGAAACACACCGAGGCCTATCGGGGGCTGGGGGGCGGAAAGGGAGGGAGAGCATTAGGACGAATAATGCCTGCTGGGCTTAAAACCTAGATGACAGGTTGATAGGTATACATGTGCCATGGTGGTTTGCTGCACCTATGTAACAAACCTGCACGTTCAGCACATGTATCCCAGAACTTAGAGTGAAATGTAAAAAAAACTCCACCGATAAAAAAAAAAAAAATCAAGGAATTTTAAAAACATGAAAAGTCAATGTAATTGTCAGAAATAATATTTTAGACCCTAATTTTAGTAAGTTTCACAAAAAGCTTGAAATCAAACGATGTGGGACATTGCTTCTGTAAGCAGCTTCTGAATTTGCTTTGCCTTGGCCTATAGTGACGTCACAAGCTCACATCATAAGGAAAACGTGTTGCGCATCTCTAGTTTGATATGAGCTTTAGTATCTCCCCACTACAGTGCGAGAAAAGTCAGGGCAAAGGATTGAAAAGAAGTTCACAACAAAAAAGTTTGAACACAAGCAAACCTGAAACAGATGCAGGGTAGTAGATCTTAAGGGTGCGTTGCTCACTCCAGGGCCTGCTGCCACCCAGATGGCTGGCAAACACCAGGACTCCGAACACAACAGGATTCAGGGATTCAGACAGGAGTCTTGCTCTACCAATTATTATAGGATCTTAGGTAAGCTACTTTCTTGCTAAAACTTAGTTTCCTTAAATCCAAAGTCAGGGTAAAACACCTGACATAATTACCTTAGGGGATGGTACTGAAACAAAAAGATAAAGATGTAGGAGCACTCCTTGCATTCTGACTTCTTTATAAATATACTTTTTATCTTTATCTTTGTACACGTTTAAAAGAATCACAGCACTAGGGAGATAGGTTTTGCTATGGGAAGGAACATGAATTGGAAGTCAGAAAATGTGGGTTTGAAACCTAATTCAAGTAGTAACTTCTACTATAGGCCCATTGGTGTAATAGCCACTTAGGAGGCAGAGATGGAAAAATCACTGGGGCTTCTTCATTTTTACAACGAAAAATGTGTCTAGGTAATGTCCACTAATATCCAGTCACTCAATGCAAGAGTTTTATAAACTCCTGCCCTGTGGAACTAGAGCTGAGTCATGTGGTTCGCTTTGGACTATAAACATGGGTGGAGGTGATATTGAGAGGTGACAGTGTGCTGGCAGTCCTCAGAGCCCTCGCTTGCTCTCCGCACCTCCTCTGCCTGGGCTCCCACTTTGGCGGCATTTGAGGAGCCCTTCAGCCCACCACTGCACTGTGGGAGCCCCTTTCTGGGCTGGCCAAGGCTGGAGCCCACTCCCTCAGCTTGCAGGGAGGTGTGGAGGGAGAGGCGCGAGCGGGAACTGGGGCTGCGTGCAGTCCCTTGCGGGCCAGCTGGAGTTCCGGGTGGGCGTGGGCTTGGCGGGCCCCGCACTCGGAGCGGCCGGCCGGCCCTGACGGCCCCGGGCAGTGAGGGGCTTAGCACCCGGGCCAGCCGCTGCGGAGGGTGTACTGGGTCCCCCAGCAGTGCCATTCCACCGGTGCTGCGCTCGATTTCTCGCCGGGCCTTAGCTGCCTTCCCGCGGGGCAGGCCTCCGGACTGCAGCCCGCCATGCCTGAGCCTTCCCCCGCCTCCATGGGTTCCTGTGCAGCCTGAGCCTCCCCGACGAATGCCGCCCCCTGCTCCACGGCCCCCAGTCCCATCCACTGCCCAAGAGCTGAGGAGTACGAGCGCATGGCACGGACTGGCAGGCAGCTCCACCTGCAGCCCCGGTGCGGGATCCACTGGGTGAAGCCAGCTGGGCTCCTGAGTCTGGTGGGGACATGGAGAGTCTTTATATCCAGCTCAGGGATTGTAAACGCACCAATCAGCACCCTGTCAAAACAGACCACTTCGCTCTACCAATCAGCAGGATGTGGGTGGGGCCAGACAAGACAATAAAAGCAGGCTGCCCCCAGCCAGCAGTAGCAACCCGCTCGGGTCTCTTTCCAGGCTGTGGAAGCTTTGTTCTTTCGCTCTTTGCAAAAAATCTTGCTACTGCTCACTCTTTGGGTCAACATTGCTTTTATGAGCTGTAACACTCATTGGGAAGATCTGTAGCTTCACTCCTGAAGCCACCAAGACCACGAGCCCAACGGGAAAAACAAACAACTCCAGACGCGTTGCCTTAAGAGCTGTAACACTCACCAGGAAGCTCTGCAGTTTCACTTCTGAGCTAGCGAGACCATGAATCCACCAGAAGGACAAAACAATGAACACATCTCAACAGCAGAGGGGACAAACTCCAGACGTGCCACCTTAAGAGCTGTAACACTCACCGCGACGGTCCGCGGCTTCATTCTTGAAGTCAGTGAGACCAAGAACCCACCAATTCTGGACCCAATATGTGTTCCTTCCATTGAGAAATGTTAAGTTACAATGTGTGGGCTGCCTTACTGTTTTTACTTTTTCAGGCTTCTCATCCTTGGGGGAGAACATATCAATCCCTCAAAAAACAAACAGGAAAACCAAAAAAGTCAGTATACGTGTGGCTTGAACAAAGAATGCATTTTGTTGTTTTATAAGCCCTGAGGTTTTAGGGTATTTTTTTCTGTAGAATAATCAAGTTTATCTTGACCGATACAACAATGAAATTAGTGATTTGATAAAGCTAAACATTCAATTTAAAGGACTACACTTACTCTGAGTTTATATACTTCCTACATTTTAATGTTGTGATAAAGTATCCTATTTTGAAATAATAATTACGCTGTTGGGGATAGTATTCCAAAATGTTGGAATTACACAAATATAAGAGGTTATATGATTACAATGAGAGTGTACCACATGACTAGCGCCTTAGGAGAAAATAATTATCTCTAATAACTGTTAAAATGTGCCTTCAAAAGATTTACCAATCAAGCCTTATTCCCTAGCAATTCCAACTTTGTGTGAAAATACAGGTCAAGTTTTGGGTTTCACATTGGTAACCAAATTGTGATAGCTTTGATCATGAACTTTGAAATACAATAATACATCTCTGAATATCGCATTGTATGATGGAGTAAAGACGAAGTATACTAGGCAGCTGCCCTTAGTACATTAAGGTGTTTTATGGCCATATTGCAATTTACTTTTTTCAAACATCTGCTCAAGCATTTAAAATGGTGTGAACACTGGTCTGTAGTTCCCGTATAATTTAAAGGCTTCTGATCCAACACCGAATAGTCCAGGACTCAAGCCTGTTTGAGTCTTCTAGTCTAAAACCTTTTTCAATGTTTAGAAAAATAAAGTAAATTTCTAGAACTGACATCCAGGACTAGTATGGAATGAGCAGTTTCATTTAATGAGTGGATTGGATTGAAGCTGAGGAACAGAGAGGGAGTGGAGAAAAGGTTAAAAATTCTTAAACTGGGTTCAAGTTGGCATTTGCCAATTCGGAATTATGAAGGCCTCCCTGAAGCCCTGATGTGCCTTTGCACTGCTAATTCCTTCTGTTTTGTTTTTCTTTTAGATGCCTTTCCAGTAAAGCTAACAAAAAACAAAACAAAATAAAACCATATCCAAAATACTAAACAGCTGTCTCCAAGATCAGAAGGCATCAGAAAAGACCCTCAAGAGTTGTCTAATCCCAGAGGAAGATCTTAAGTGGGGATGTGCTCACAGCAGAAACCTTGGAAATTTCAGGGAGTGAAATTTTATTGTCAGAACTTTCAATAAAAGTGTAGCCACAGATCCTGGGAGCATTAAATAAAAATTACCAACAAGCTGTCTTACCTGTGTGCACTCCACTGAAAGGAAGGGCAAACATGAGCAAGGAGCTCTTGTACATCAGTCAAAATTCTGACAGCTACCCTGTGAAGTTTGACGGGCTGCCATGTGCTAGACTACCTAAGATACTCTTAACTGAACCATAAAAAGACAAATAAATTAGTAATTGTATCCCTCCTGTCAATGTCCTTTTTCGTGAACTTCTCAAGGTGTTGGTTAACATTGTCTGGAATGATTTATCAATATATTCTTAGCTTTCTTAGGAAACACAGATAGACTTGATTTTTTCCAAATTGTTTTTTGAATTGATTTAAGAAAATGATACAGATATTGCCAATTGCTGGGCCTCTCTTTTTCACTCCCTGCTCTGCTTCCTCCGATTATTAAATCAAACCAATAAGATTAACATAATCTTTCTTAGAATTGACTGTTCTTTTTAAATAGATCCCATGATAGACATGTGTAAAAATCAATAACAGGCCCCTCATTTGTCAAAGCTAATGACTAAACTCATTTTGAAGTTCAATAGTGGTTACTGGAGAGTGGCCACACATTATATGTCTAATCCTGTATGTCTCGACACTTATTCTGCAGAACAGAGAAAAAGGCTTTGTTGCTTGAGGCACAGTATAAAAGCTGGTGTCTCCATTGTATTTGTACATATTCACATTTCCTCCAAACTATGACAATTGTTGATTGTCCAAGCTAATACATTAAAGGAAATAAAAGGAAAAATAAATCTGGTAAATTTGTAACACTCCCCACCCCACCTTTTAACCAATTCAATTAATTGTAAGTTCCTTCAATTATATGCTTAACTCCTTGAGGTTGTGAAATATGTCTTACATATTTTTAATATCCCCAGACACACTAACATAGCGATTGGGTCACAGATTAGCATGAAATAAAGATTTGGTTGAATTACACAGAATTATATTATCCAATACTTTGGACCATGGCATAGCAGTTATTTTAGACCACACACTTATATCCAGTGTAAAGTGCAAAAGATGCAGCTTTCCTGCAGACTTCTCTTTGATAGATGCTCTGCATCACAGGGTGGTTTAAGTAGTGTTTGCTTCTGAGGTGTTCCTGCTACCTTCCACAAAGCCTTTTCCAGGCACTGCAAAAGTGTGAGACCTAACAGCTTTTGGTATAATACCCTCTTCCTTTTCAAATATCCTCTGATTATAGATATAAGCCAGCAACAGAGCATCTTAAAATCCAGAATAGATATTTGGATGAAATATAGGCATGAGATGTAGCCCTGAACTAATTGAGATTACATTTGAAATTATTAATGAAAACACTATCTTATATCTGCATAATGCTTTATGCTTTACAAAGGTTCTTCATATACCCCATCTCATTTTCTCATTTTCTCCTTTTCTCACCCCAAGTCAGAACACTTAATAAATATTTCTTTCATTTCCCTAAAAATTCCAGATTGTTGTTTACTGTTCTGTCCTCCTCCCTTCATCAGCAAGTTGCCTTTTTCTGGGCTCCAGGTTGTATATTGTATTGCATGCCCATTGAGCACGGCCATCTCTTGGAATCAATAGGTCAGATACAATTTGAAACTCCCTAGGTAATGGATTTTAAAAACTGCTTGAGGGTGGGGGAGAGAGAGGAGGAAAAGGAATCCACAGGAACAATAACTGAAGTGGAGTGATATATTCCTGATGGGAGCTGGAGAACTGTTCTTTATAATAGCTTCTCAGGGGAGAAGCCGCCCTTTTCCAGCAGGAGGTGTCCTGGGAATAGCAGAGCCACTGCCATTCCATTCTTTTGATGAACAGAAACCTTATCAGTGTAATTCCCCTTGAGAGCTGAAGGGAGAAGGAAGGAGTTTAAAGATTTGAAAAATTTGGGTTGTGAGGGGTGGAAAGCCCAGACTCCAGCTTGTTCATTTGGAATATTTCTTGTGAGGGGGAAGGTATTCTGCCAAATTTAGGGTCCTTTCAGAGCTCACAGATTCTGACAGCTGATCTAAGTTCAGTGCATGAGTTTATCCTTGCCAGGGGAGAGAGGGAGCAGTAAGTGAAAAGAACGTTTTATGAATTAAATGCAAAATATAAAAACCAAAATGCTTGCCTCCAATATATCACAATATGCTAATACTTTCAGTTGCAGCTATGCAATGAGGATGTCAAAGCATTAGTCATTAAATAATAAGTCGCATCAATAATTTTGACTTTAGAATAAAACACAGATACCTTTGATTTGCACCTCGTTTGACTTTTTAATTATTTTTAGAAGCTCGAAATATCTCTTGGCTTTTTTTCTCTCATTGTGACAAGACTATGAGGTTGGAAAAATCAAGGAAGCAGGTGAAATGTACTCTCTCATATCATGGTTGTGTGGTATCTATGAGGCAAAATATTCTTTTTTTTCTATCCATAAAATTGCCAAAGCCTTAATTATTTGGTGACATAAGATGAGTAATCTAAAGCCAGTCCATGTTCAATATTAGGCTGTTTGGGGATACAAAAAAATCTGGGTTATAATGAAAAGCACTGTCATTTCATGAATACCTCTCACATGAATTGCACATGTGTATTTTTTTCATTTATATTGTTTTCTCCAATGGCTTTATCCAACAACAGTTTGTTTCATGACCATGTCACGTGTTCAGTGCAGGTCCGTGTGGTGGTTCTGCTCGTTGTAGTCACAAAGACACCCAGACTGATGGAAGTACTGATGTTATACTTACTCCCATGACCACTGAGTCAGGGAAAAGAGAAAATGACTCACAGCATGACTATTAATGTTTTCACCTGTAAGAGACGCATGTTCACTTCACACACTTTTCAGTTATCAAAGCATGTTCATATCTACTATTTTTTTCCTAAAACCCTTATTGATGTATCATTATGTACACATTTTAAGAATGGAATAATTTTAGTAAGTTTATAGAATTGTGCAACTATCATTTTAACCCAATTTTAGAGCATTTTATCACCCCCAAAAGATACCGCATGTCCACTTCCCATCCCAGACCAAGGCAACCAGTAATTTGCATTCTGTCTCTATAAGGTTTGCTTCGCTTTTTCTGGGCATTTAGGATAAATAGAATAATAAAGCATATGGAGTTTTTCATCTGGCTTCTTTCACTTAGCTTGATGTCTTTGAGATTCATTCACGTTGCAGCACATATCAGTAGTTGTTTCTGTTTATTGCTAAGTAGTATTCCATTGCACTGATATATCACATTTTGTTTTTTCTTTCACCAGTAGATAAACATTTGAAATGTTTTCACTTCTTAGTTATGATGAATGCTATATATTTGCATACAAGTTGTATTAGTCCATTTTCACTTGCTATACAGAACTACCTGAGACTGGTTAATTTATGATGAAAAGAGGTTTAATTGACTCACAGTTCCACAGGCTGTACAGGAAGCATGACTGGGAGGCCTCAGGAAACTTACAATCATGGCAGAAGGTAAAGGGGAAGCAAGAAGCTTCTCCACGTGGTGGCAGGAGAGAGACAGCAAAGGGAGAAGTGCCATACACTTTGAAACCATCAGATCTCATGAGAAAGAATTCACTATCATGAGAACAGCAAGGGGGAAATCCACCCCCATGATCCAATCACCTCCCAGAAGGCCCCTCCTCCAATTTGACATGAGATTTGTGTGGGGACACAAATCCAAACTATATCATAAGTTATTGTGTGAAAATATTCACTTTTTAAAAAGAGGTACCGTCTAATGTAATGAGATGGAGACATATTTATTCTCCACTAATTCCTTTTGAGGACGCCATTACCTTTGAGAGGTGTATAAATAAGTGTTAAGGTAGAAGTTTCTGCACACTCCCCACCCCTCACCTTAAGTTCTTTGCTACCTAGTATTGAGGCTTCCCACAAAGTAAAAGGAGTCAGAAGGCCTAGATATTTTCTTTAGGAAGTTTGAGTGACATAATACTAGATAAGGGAGGGTTGATAAAATTATTGGGATAGGGAGGCAATCATAACTGAGATGGAATTTTATTATAAAATATGCATTGTAATATGCATATTACACCAATACCTCTGTGTTGCTTAGATAAACTTTGGTAACACCTACAATTTTCATTAGAGCTCTGTGTGTGGATAAATTGTTTGGAAGGAACTCCAATGGGAAGCAACTTTTACGTCTAGGTGGATGTAGTGGATATTTTGGGTTATGTACAAAGCATTTATGTCTTGTTCTCCTTTCTTAATGATACCCAGATTTTCATGTGGAAGTCTGCGCCTTCAATCACAGTTCTTGCACTTGAGGAAAGATAGCCCCACCCACCTAGTAAGTTGTTTTCCTGTCCAAAGCCATAGTTTCAGTGGTGGGCATAACTTTACCTGTATAAAGATCCAATTTAGAAATTTTGCTGGAAATTTGAAAGGAAAACCTTCTCTCATATAGACTTGAATGAAGACAAATGCAGCCTTGGTTGCATCCTGTGGCCACAAGTGAGCCAACCTTAGATGAAGCTTACAGTGTGAACAGTAGAACTCAGAGATAGCAATGATGTAAACTTGAATTAACCAATCCTTACCCTACGATTTCATTTTCCAGTTAGGTAAGTCAGTAAAGCCCCTTTAATGTTTAATCCCCTTATTGTCTGAGTCAGAATTTTTATTCCTTAAAGCATAAAGATTCCAAACTGACACATCATACTTGGAGTAAAACTAAAGGCAGTACAAGGTTGTAGGAGGCAGAAGTCCTGGGGATGCTGAGATTGTAAATTTCAAAAATTAGCAGCTATCATAGGCTGTGGAATTGTCTAGAGTCTGGGCCAATTATACCCTGAAATCCAAAGGGCAAGAAGGTCCCAGCTGATATATAGGTTACATTCAATTCTTTTCTACAGTGTTTTTGTAACTAATATGTAGTGGACAATAAAGAGCTGAAAGTACTTTGACCTATCTCTGTGATACCTGGGGAGATGTGCCCTTTGACCCTGTAGAGCAGTAGAGACCTTTTAAATGGAGAAAATCAGAATGTGCCGTAATGACAGGATTTGTTTTGTTTCCCTTCCCAACTGCCTCACTAAATAGATCTCCTTTTCCTCTGCTTGTTGGAGAATCCTATTCACATGTCTATGATAGCATTTAATACACTGTGCACATCATATGTTTATTTGCTTACCACTCAAATGGCCTGGGAAGTCTTTAAGGACAAAGATAGTGCTGTTACTCTTTACATATTTAGTGTTCAGTACTGCACTGGGACACTAATGTGGTACCCTGTAAACTTGTTTTACAAAATCAGTCAACATGCTTATATTTTTTCTTTCAACACCATAGGCTTTCTTACTAGAGAAAGCCTCGTTTTGTAGTAGAAAGAAACAACACAAAAATCTGTGATTGCTAAAGTTAATGTAGTTCTACTCTGGCTAGTAACTACAAAGTCTGGGTAAAATATGAAAAACATCTGCTTGTAGTCATCAGAGAGTTTCTGAGAAGTTCATAACTTTGAGGGACCAAAATCCTGCAGAGGGAGAAATTCTCGGAGGTGATCCCAACATTCTACTTGCTATTTCTCTCCTTAAGACATATGCCAGTTTCTTAAGCAGGGCAGGCAAAGGGCTGAGAAGCCAGGAAACAGTAGCTGCTAGGAGAAGAAATATAAGCAAACTTTTGGTGATCTCATAGAACTAAGGAGACAAAAATTAGAGTTTAGGTCTTCTGAGATAACTAGGATTTGAGAGACCAAGGTTCTGGAGAGAAGAACAGTTACAGAGATGCAAGCCTGATACTACACATTCCTTTTTCTTTTGAATAATTTGCCAGTTCCTAAGCTTTATGATATAAGAGGCAGGTGAAAAGCTTAATGGAGTGCGCTTTAATGACAAAAATGTGAATTCAGGACCTAGGGAAAAAAAAAAAAGGCCCACGTAAACATCCTAGGCTCTCATTTGGATACCCTGGAGTCTCTACCCTAGGAGCTGAGGTGAAATAGGGTTAGGAATAATGTAATGAGCTGTGAAACCCAGTATGAAATCAAATCGATTCCTCATTGGATTTAGGTGTCTACTTCTCCTTTAGTAGCTTACCAGGAAAAAAGGTGAACCTTTGGTGAAAAGAGATCACAACCTCCCATTGCCTATAATTTCTAATTTGTGAAAGTCTGGCATTTAACAAATATTATTCAATATAAAAGGAAGATGAGTCAAAGGAAAACTAGACAATAGAAACAGGCCCACAGCTGACCAAGACACCAATTTAAAATAACGTTGATGAATACATCCAAAAAAATGCATGAAATGATAATGAATTTCACCAGACAAATAAAAGATATAAAAAGAATTTAGTGAACATTTTGAAAGTGAAAAATGCAATTACTGAAACTAAAAACTTAGTATTTGAGTTTAATATCAGATTGGGCAAAGAAAAAGAGTTGAGATAAACTATTAATTGAAGCATAAATAATAAAAAAGAGAAGGTGCAGAAAATAACAATATAGACTATTGGGATGTTCAAAAAAGGTCTAACATATATGAAATTATAGTCCTAGAATGGTAGGAGAAAGGGAATGGGCAGAAGCAATTTTTTGAAGAGATAATGGCTAAGTATTTTTCAAAATTAACAAAAGACATTAAGCTAATTCCATTAAGCACAATTCCATTAAGCTAAAGATTCAAGAAGAGATATAACCCCGAGAAGGATAAAATACATAGGAAAACATTCCTATCAATGTCTTAGTAGAACTAGTGAAAAGCAAAGACAAAGACTTAAAAGCAGTTAAAGGGGGGTTGGGGGGAAGCACATTGCTTTCAAAAGAGCAATATTAAGACACAGTCGATTTCTCAACAGACATGATGAAAACTTCCAGAAGACAACAGAATGGTTTCTAAAAATTACTGGAAAACATAAAAACTTTAAATTTAGAATTTTCTATCAGATAATAATAAACTCCAAACATAAAGCAAAAAGACATTTCTAGGTAAAAAAAAGAAATACAGAGATATTTTGATACCAGTATGGCCACTTCTAAGTAAATACTAAAGAGAGTATTTAGGTCAAAAGAAAATGATCCTAAATTGAAATCCAAAAATGCAGGAAGAAATAAAAACCATCAGAAAGTGTAAATATGTGGTATAATGGCTGTACAAAACAATCATGATGCCTTATGGAATTTAAAATCTATTTAGAATTAAAGGACTGACACCAAAAAGAACAGAAGCTAAAGTATTGTAAAGCTCTGGCATTGCCTGAAAAAATTGTCAAAAAAATACAAATTTATACATAAAGTGAGGCACACAGAAAATTAATATGATAGATAAAATATCACTAATTGTTTTCAGTGTAACTGGACAATAATTGCTGAAGTGGATTAAAAGAAACAACTAATAATATATAGCATATATATATATGCAAGAGACACACCTTAAATACAAGGATAAAAATAGAAAGTTAAAAACGGAAATACCATGAAAACACTAAATAAAAGAAGCTGGTGAAGGCTAAGTAGACCATAGACAAGATACATCACTAAAATTTAAAAAAGGAATATTCCATAATAATTAAAAGGTCAGTCTATGAGGACTAGAAAGCAATTCTGAATGTTTATGTATCTAATAACATAGTTTCAAAATACATATAATTAAAAGGAAGAAATAGAAAAACCTGCAGTCACACTGGAAGATGATCAGTAATTGATAAAATAAGCAAAGAATCCATATGAAACAACAAAACAAACAAAATTTACCTTATTGATATACATAGGACATGGTCCTGAAGAATGGCAAAATATATATTATTTTCAAGTGCACATGGATTATCTACCAAAACTGCAAAACTGACCATATACTGGGCCATAAAACAGGTCTCCAACAATTTCTTTTTCTTTTCTTTTTCTTTTTTGAGATGGAGTCTTGCTTTGTCTCCCAGGATGGAGTGCAGTGGCGCAATCTCAGCTCACTGCGACCTCCACCTCCCGGGTTCAAGCAATTCTCCTGCCTCAGCCTCACAAGTAGCTGAGACTACAGGCCTGCACCACCATGCCTGGCTAATTTTTGTATTTTTAGTAGAGACAGGGTTTTACCATGTTGGCCAGGCTGGTCTCAAACTCCTGACCTCAGGTGATCCACAGCTGCGGCCTCCCAAAGTGTTGGGATTACAGGCATGAGCCACGGCGCCTGGTGTCTTCAATAATTTCAAAGAATCAGAATTATACAGAGCATGTTTTCCGACCACAGGACAATATCTGGGATTGCTTCTGGAGGGAACTCAGTTGGATCCCCCTCAGAGTTGGTCACCACAGCAGTGGCTGTGCATGCAAGTATTGTTAAGTGTTGGAGTGAATATTTATATTTCAGACTGCTAATTAAAAAATGTAGTATAGCTGGACTAACCTCAAGAACATAAAATACATGCATATACTCAAATACACACATACCAACACACACACACACATGTCCTTAAAATACTTGTAGAGCAGGTGGAGTTTGGAAAGGCCCACCAAACCACATGGATTCTTCCAGGCAGGTTAACCTTTTGTTTCTCTGCTTGTGTCCACTTGAGTGACCATATAAAGGAGACTCTAGTAGCTAAGCTATGCTTAACATAATTAGAACTAGTGCTAAGTAGTATTATTCCTCTTGCCCTTTTTACTTAAATCATGGTTTCTCACTCTCTCTCCTGGTGGCTTGGAAAATATTTTTTAAAAGATAGAAAAAAAAAGTCTAAATGTTACTAGTTCTTGGACAGACTGTGAGTCTTTCATCCCAGTTACATCTAATAAAAAAATTTAGTGTTAATTTGCAGGGACCTAACCTTCTCACACAGCTCATGTGACTCTGCTCTCCACATATCAGATGTAAAATGAAGAAGACACAATATGAAAGGGCTATAATAAAATTATATTTAATATGATGAAAAATAGAGAAGCCGAGAGATTCTTTGGAGGGCAAGGGGGAATCAGGGAAAATATCATTTCAACGGAGTGAATGATTAGGACATTTGCAGATGGATCTGGCCATGTAAATGGAAAGAAGTTGCCCACAAGCAAGGGCACAGAGGTTGGACATACACAGCGCACACAAGGAGTTGGTGAGTTGTCTGCTGTGAGTACAGGGTAGAACGAAAGGAAGAGAATACTGGGTTCAAGTGTGGAAAGACATGGTTAACATGTTCACATGCTTGGATGTTCTATTGCAAGCAGAGGGAAGGAAATACAGTTTTTTGAGTGGAGAAGAATCATGATTGAATCAAAGTTTTCCAACAATAGTTCCAATAATTTGTCACATTGAGTATAGAGTGAGGAGAAATTAGATTTATGGTTTATGGGTAGATTTCAGCAAAGACATAGGGGTTTAAATCTGAGCAGTGACAGTGGGAATGAACAGAATGGGCGATATTGACTATCCAAGGCATTCTGAAGGTAGAATAAGAAACTTGGTAATTGCATATGATGAATGGGGGAAAAGAGTCAAGAATAGTGCTAAAGTTTCTAACGTGTCCTGCGGAGTAGATGGAGATACTGTTATCTAATGTGGAGAATCCAAGAGAAGGGTGAAGCCAGAAAAGGGGTATCATAAAACGATCTTGTGTCACAAAAGCTACATGGTGATAACCAAGAATTTTTTAGAGAGTAATGGAATGACCTCTTCTAGATAAATTTTTCTCCAAAACTTAATCTGCAATCATTAGAATGTTATTAATATCAGATGAGGTGTATATGGAGATATACATGAAGTTTTGAAAAGGTCCAGAAGTGGCAATAGGATCAGGATGGTAGAGTGAAAAAGCCATTACATTATAAATCAGAAGTCATAGGTTACATTAGCTACCTGGTTGACTGTCCATAAACAACTTGACTGTTTAGCTCTTCATTTCATACTTTGTAAAACACAGGGCAACAGTGTTTCTCTTCCTCCCAATGTGTGTGAGGGTCAAGTGAGATGATGCATTTTTAGGCATAGCGAAAAATGCAAAGTGCAGCATGAGTGATTTGGGTAGCATTTTAATATGTCATTGGTTAGTTTGATAATTAAAAATTCTTGCTTTGAAAATAATATCCTAAAATATATTCAAGGAAAGGATTTAAATTCTAAGAGGTTTAGTTACAGTGGGGGTTTTCTTTATCTCTCCTTTTTTATTTTTCAATTCCTGAACACAACAAATCTTGCCCTTGCCCAAATATTAAATCTATGAGGCTATAAATGTAACATTACACATGGTATGCATTATAAAAACAAACCCTGAAACAATTGTCTGGGGCAAAATAAAAGAAACTGAAAAATTGAAGATGTGAAGCATTTTTACTTAATGCAAGCTATTCCCATTATTTCTTTTCCTTTTAATAAAGTTCACACTTAGTTGCTCTCTTGAAAACCAATTCTTCCTAAAGCTTCTCTCTTCATCTTTAATATGACTCTTCTCTGAAGCTCTCATTTCTATCCAGGCAGCATTATTACATATCTTACAAAATCGAGCATTAGAGATTAATTACATGTGAAGTACATCTGATGGCTCTGGGGTTTCTTCGGGTAGTAGTGAAGGCTACCCACTAGTGTAATAAAAGCAGCGTAAATTTAATTAAAATGTAGCTATTTCATTGGGTCTACTATGCAAGTAGGGCCTCTGGTTTTCTGTAAAATAATAAAAATGATCTATAAAAACTTACAAAGTTAAAGTGAAAGGGACAAAATACTCTGAAGTGAGTGATAGGCTGCCAGAGTGGCCCAAGACACAGGATGGAGAATGCTAACAGAGAAGAAAAAGGCTACCTATGTCCTCCCAATGCCTCCAGGCTCCTTTCTAAGCACTTTGAGGCAGAGAAAAAAACAAGTTTACTTTTCTGCCCTCTCTTGGCTATTTACCCAGGAAATCTCAGGGGGTTCTAAGCAAATACTAGGCTATACCATGGTGATTTATTGGCATTTTATTCTCCGAAATAGCTAAATGAGTCTTTCCACCCTTACTTCTCCCTGGTGCTACCCCAATGTTCAATAAACTTGTACAGCAGAATGGTCAAGATCTACATCAAAAGTCAGATCTGGGAACGCATCCACAGCTGATAAGCCTCATTGCATACCTGTTTGAGAAATAAGCCAGGGGCTTTCGATTGTACAGAGAGGTAAGTTTCTGTGACAGCCCCAGTAAGCTAGCTTGTCTCATTTTTATTTTGGCTACTGGTAGTAAGTGGCCACAAGGTGAACTGAAATTGGAAAGCAGACATTCTACAAAATAACTTCTATACAGGTAGCATAGGACCTATGCTAATCCACCTGGACACAGTGTGAAGTAACAGTAATAATTGCACAATACAGAATAAACACTGATTTCATCCTGTGTGCCAGGAGATACACATGTATCATTTCCAGCCCTCACACCAATCCTACAAAGAGCATACCACCATGCTATGGTACAAAAAGCACAAATTTTAAAGAAAGAAAAAAATGGTTTGAATCCTGGCTCAGCTACTCTGATTTTCTGATTCCCAGTGTCTTTACCTATAAGATAACACTGTATTTGGCTGGTAGGCTATAAATGATACTTAGAGTGTATATACATAAGACCCTAACACATTGTCTGCCGCACGGTGGGAGTTTAAAAGTGTTGCTCCATCTTGGTCTTCAGTAAGACTGTGAGGCTCAATATTATTTTTCAAAAATTTTCTGAGGATGAGGACTTGGTAATTACTCACTTGTAGTGGCTTCTAATAGTGTTTAATTAATTTTATAAAATAAAGTTTCATTCTATGCAAAGTAAAAATATTCATGATATGAAAGAAACAGTTGTTCTATGTTAGATGAGTCAGTGTTTATTTTCTCTTACTTGACATGTATAAAGAGATACAGGCTTACTATGCATCAGAATATCTATTTATTCTAGTGACCTTGCTGCATGTGAGTAACATATGGAGAAGGTAGGAGGAAATATATTTTAATATTTACTTAGGTCCTACTATGAGATTACCTTATGACCAGAATTGGCTTTGTCCAGGATATTTTGCTCCTTTGTTCTTACAGCTATTAAATTCAATCCTGGGAAGTCTGTACAGCCTCTCTTTGTGCTTAATCTATAGCTTTTAGACATAGAGGTCCTGATGAACTCTCATTCCACATAAGTCTGCGGGCTTCCCAAACTTTGAATGGTTTTGAATTGAAAGCAGAGGGGTGTGGGCAAGGTTAGAAAGAGGACATGGGGTAGATTTCCTTTGTTTTTACTATAGCTGTTGGCATACTTGTGGAAAAGGGTAAAGTCCTTAGAATTATTCTCTGTAGTTCTTAATTCTCTATCCTTGGATATTTCATTTTCAACTTTTTAATAATCTCATTTACTCTTTGGGGATAATTTCTAAGTGATCTATTATATCTCAAAAATTGGACAAGTTATTTTTAGAACATCTTAGTTAACAGTGAATCAAGACCTTTGATTTATTTTTAAATGTCATATTTAGACCACAGAAAGGTTACAGATACAGTTTTCTCTAAATGAAATTTTAAAAATTCACATTGAGAAGCTCTTAGTGCAACTTAGTGTTTGTAAACGGCTACAAAAAGGCAGATCTTCCTCTCCGCCCAACTTGCCGTCACATATGGAAAAAATTAATTATATTTTTCTATTTAAAATAGAAAGGTAAAAAGTTTCCAGACAACATGGCATGGTAAAATCACAATTTGTAATATTCCCTCTGCCCAAACACATCAATGATAGGTAAAATATACAAATAGAAGACCAAAAAACAGCCAAGCTTAAAAAAAAAAAAAAAAGAAATAACTTTTCAAAGTGAAAATTAAAATAAATGCAAAGTAGTGAAAGAGTCTTAACTCACAATTTTGTTGTCCTCCAAGTTAAGAAGCAGGTTGACAGTGAACACAAGTAACATTCTGCTACCTGGTAAACAAGACTGCTTAAACCAATGCTTTCTAGATTACAAAATAACGCTGAAAACAAGTTGCTAAATATTGCCAAAGGCTATGGCTTTTAACAAGTTGTAGGCTGGGAGTCAAATATGGACATATTCTTGCAACAAAGAAGTGGTCAAAGTAACCTAGCAGTGCACTGACTGGATCAATATTACCCCCAGCACTGTCAAGGGACAGCGGCCCGGGAAGGTCATTGTATGCTCTTGGTTTGGGATTCGGGACCTTAAGGCTGGATAAACACTATGCTAAAACATCTAAATCATACATAAAACGAGATAACAAAGAAACAAGTGAAATTCCTATTACAAGCCAGCCAAAACATGGAAGCAGCTAATGCTGTAACAAATACTGTCCTTATCTCCTTGCACTCAGCACTTCAGTGCATGACATTGGTTTGACTTCTAACTACTGGCTTTCTTTGTCTTTGTTTTCCTATGGCCACTGAAGCCTGCTTTGTCCACTGGTCTGGCATGCTAAAAGTGATGGAGAATTAATGCCCTTTGGAAGCAGCCTCAAACTGACTAAAGGAAATTGGTACATAAAGATTCCCTTGACCCTTGGGTGGGATGAGTCTGAGAGATCTGCTCTACACAGGCTCCCAGAGTTTTCCTTGTGAGTTTCACCTCTAGTTTTACACAAGAGTAACTGGCCTGGTGATCCACCTTTTATTGGCCGCTTTCCTTCCTTGTCTCCCCTCTCCATTCTCCTACTGGTGCTTTTGTTGCCTTCCAAATAAACTACCTGAACTCAGATTCTTTACCCAGGATCTGCTTAATAAAGAGACCAATGTAATACTGAGAAAGACAGACAAGAAAATCCGCAGATGGAACACAAATTTTCTCAGGGAGAAATTAACGGGATGAAACAGTCTGACAAATCTTTAATATAAATGTATTTAGTGCCCAAATAAAAATGAAGAATAAGTTCTATTAAAGAAAAGCAAGGACTAATGGAACAAAAATAGGCAGAAATGAAGCAAGACCAGGAAGATATGAAACAAATCCAATTAGAAATCTTGGAAAGGACATACACAGTCTTTGAAATTCAAACACTCAAGAAAATGTAGTTTACTTGGTAGTGGACAAAGTTGAAGAATAAGTCAGTGACATAAAAGAGGGATTGACCTGGAATATAGCATGCAAGATTTAAAAAAAAAAAAAGTGAGAGAAGGGGATATAATGAAGCAATGGAAAATAGACTGTGGGCTCTGCAGAACTACCTTTTATCATGTGATAGTTCCTAAAGAACAGAATAGAGGAAATGGTGCAGAATAAATATTTGAAGAAATCTGAACTTTCCAAGTATCCTAAGATCAAAAGTGGACTCAAAGCATCAAGGACAGCGAATAAGAAAATAGGAATAAAAACAAAAATAAATTTAGATACAGCTAAGTTAAACTATGAGACTATGTAAAAGAAATTATTTTAGAAGCTAATAGAAAGGATGAGTAACCCATACAAAAAAAGGTATTTGGTCTGATAGCAAACTTCTCATCAGAAATAATAGATGCCAGATGATAATGGAGAGATATCAAAATGCTGAGAGTGCTAAGTATCATTAAAGACAGTAAAAGATAAAAGTCCTGCAAAGTCCATGAGTGCAAAACACTAACCAGAAATGGTATAGGCATAGTTTACAGGAAAATATTTATAAGCCAAGAGTCGTAAGTAAATATTTTCTCCCCAAAGCCCATTATTCCATAAATTGTCTGACCTAAGAAGCACCATGAAGCAAGGTCCTGTCTCTTAACTTTTGCACATTTCTTAGGAAGTTGGAGATAGGAAGTATGGCAAGAAATATCCAGTCAACTCTGTAAAAATAGGCACTTCCTTCTTGGGAAAAGCCTTGTAAGAGAGGGTCATTTGCATTTTATTCAGACCCTGTCTTCTTGCTCTGTTGTGTCAGCTCTGCTAAGTTAACTCATTGCAAAGCAGCACAAGGGGAAATGGAAAGAGCCGCTAAAGCCATACATGTAATCCATTATTTGTGTCCCCTAAAAAAATGAAAAGATCTTTGAAAAATATAGAGACTAAGAAAGTTGCCATGACTAATATCCCCACTGCAGCATGTCAAGCCAAACACCCTGATTTACTCTCCTCCTGATATTCACTCATCTAAACATACTGATAATTGTATTAGTCTTTTAAATGCACTGAAGCTGGTGAGAATCCTTAGAGGCCACAAGTAAGTACAATATGTACTCACAGAGGTAGGCAAAGCCCAGGAGCCCACCTTTACTCTGAGGGATTATTAACCCTGGGATATCATGAGCTTCAGTTTCCAATGTCCTTTTGGTTCCTGAAAAATAGGAAACAAAACTTGTCTCAGATGAAAAGTATTATAGGAGACATCCCACACATATAGATCTGAGACCATGAAGGGCTACATTTTCAATGTAAAAGATAATAGGAAATAAACTACTTTAACCCATCACCACGTGGAGACAAATCATTAAAAAGTTGGGAATGGATGCTAAGTGCTAACCTTTTAGCTACTCGGAAACCATGCTCAAACTTTTACCTTTATTTAACTTCCAAATGATAGTGAAAAACAACATGCTATCTATGTTATGAAACTAGATCTTGTATCATAGAAATCCCTTTAACCCTATTCTAAAAAAGCAGAGGTTCGGCCGAGGCAGGTGGATCACAAGGTCAGAAGATCGAGACCATCCTGGCTAACATGGTGAAACCCCGTCTCTACTAAAAATACAAAGAAAAATTAGCCCGGCGTGGTGGCGGGCGCCCGTAGTACCAGCTACTCGGGAGGCTGAGGCAGGAGAATGACGTGAACCCGGGAGGCGGAGCTTGCAGTGAGCCGAGATCGCGTCACTGCCCTCCAGGCTGGGCAATTGAGGAAGACTCCATGTCAAAAAAAAAGTCCCAAGTTGCTGGGTCCACCTTGGGGAATGTGTTTGCCTTTTCCAGTTTAGTAATTATTCCATCGTTTTATCCTTTATCTTACAGACAAATTTATAATTTAGTTTCTAAAAGCACTTCTATAAAACATAAGGGAATGAAAGGTTGAGAATTTTAAAAAATTGACTAGCTTGCTCACAACACACATGCTCACAAATATATCTAGCAAAGCAAGGAAAAATGCATTCGGACTTGCAATTATTTTGAGACTAAAATTTTTGATACCTTCTTCCATTGCTCATTTCCTGTTTCATTTTTCCTCTTTAAGGATTGTAGTTGAACATGATTCTTTACCTACTGAGGTAACACAAACTTTTATTTCTCTTGGGTCAGAGCCCTTGGTAGTCTTGCCCGTATTGGGCCATTGCCGTTTTGATAACTTTTGTCACTTGATGGGATAGTATTGTGAGTGGCCACAGGGTATCCCCTGGGTTGCAAAAACACTCATTATGCCCCTGTTGTTACAACCAACCTATTTTCCCTTGATAATCAGTATTAATCACATCAGCCATTAAAGTGAGAAAAAAATAAATGGCTAAAAATACGTGGTAAATACGTGGGTAAATCCAAATGAACATTGATTTTTTTAAAAATAATAATTTCCTTAGTTAAAAAAATATATAGAGAGAATTGTAGTGCTGATAATAAACTGGGAAATGATAAATATAGATAAAGTGTTTTAAGGTTCCTGCATTATCTGGGAAATGGGTAAATTTTAACTTATGCATTCTAAAATTGTAGAAAATTGATTGCATAAATCAGTTTCCTAAAATTGGGGGTCAAAAAAGTGGAATAATAAAAAAAAGAATCCAAAAGAAAAGTGGAATAGTAAAAAATAATCAATCCAAAAGAAGACACGAAGAAAAAAAAGAAAAAAAGAGAAATGCAATAGAAAACCCAAATGAATGAAAACTATTATAATTACTATAAAATGTGATAACATTTAATTTATTTAAATTCATTGATTTTCAAACTGGACTAAAATAATAAAAAGCTATATATTATTTACCAAAAGTAAATCTAAAATATAAGGATATAAATGTTTAATATGAAAGCATCAAAAAATACGGAAGGCATGTAATAATCCAGAGAAAGCTTTTGTAACTATGCTAGTCAGACAAAACACAGCTTTTAAGGCAAAAGCAGTATAAATGATAAAAGTTGAATTTAGCAGAAATATATAACAATTTAAACTTTATGAATGGGGTAACAAAAAGAAAAATATGTAATGCAAAATTTGTCAGAACTATAGAGAGAATCTGATAAATCTACCATCAGAGTAACATATTTTTTAACACACATTTCTCAGTAATTAGTAGATAAAGTAGATCACAAAAAAATCAGATATAAATATAGAAGATTTGAACAAACCAAACCAATTTGATTTAATACATATATAAAGAATTTTTCGTCACTCCAGTAGTGAGTAAATATTCCTTCCAAGCATATGTAAAACATTTACAAACTGATGACAAATACAGACATAAAGAAAGGCTTAACATATTTATTTGACTATACACAAGAAAATTGAAACACATAAGAAAATGTTACTAATGAAACAAAATCCAATCAAATCCACACCAAACATTTGGAAATTAAGAAGCATATTTCTCAATACTTCACAGGTTAAAAAGATATCACAGTGGAAGTTAAAAACATCTAGAACTGAATGATACTATTGTCTCAGGACCCTTAGGGTGTGGCTTTTCCAGCTGGAACCCTTTGTGGCTGGTGAGGCCTTTGCCTGAGTTTTGTTTGGGCTTGCTGGGCTCATTACATCCACCCAACCTGGCAGGATGTGCTCAGCTTGCACTATCTGCCCAGATCCCATGCCTGCCAAGCATGATCCAGGCTCAGAACAGCAAGGGGTGTGTGAGCAAGCAAGCACAAGGTCCAGCCACTGTGCACAGCCAGGCATGCCGGCTGCTGCGCTGGGTCAGGCAGCTCCAAGGGCCGGCACAAGTGCTGGCTCCATGCAAGCCTGTGGCTGGATAAGATGCATCACAAGTAGTTTCTGCTGTGGATACTCTTGTCTAGAGGAGGGGAACACTGTGGTGCCCAGAAGCTTGGAGATGCCATTAACTGCAGAGCCCCAAAGAGGGTGTCAAAGCCCTGGCTCAGGGAGTCCCTAGGTCTGGGCTCCCTGAAGGGCCACAGCTCTTTTCTCCTTCTCTTTGCCTGTAATGGTGTAAGGGGTGAGGAGGTGTTTAGCCCTGTTTGTGTTACAACTCCTTCAGTCCTGCCGTTTGGCCAGCACCGAGTTCTTGTCTCACATCCAGGAAGAACGAGGTACAACCGGAGCAAAAGCAAGGCAGAGAAGAGCTCTACTGAGTGACAGAATAGCTCTCAGAGACCGAAGTGGGTAGCTTCTTTCTGCAGGCAGGTCATCCTGATGAGTGTTCAGCTCTCAGTGAAGAGGAGACCAGGAGTGAGCAGTAGCACCTTTCAGCAGCTAATAGTCCCCATATCTGTGTGTGAGTCGGCTGGCGTGGGGGGTGGCGGGGGGGGGGTTATGGCTCAGCAGAGACGAAGTGCGTGCTGATTGGTCCATGGGTGGCCATGGGCCCACCCAGAAAAAGTAACGTAAGTCATCACTGCAGGCTGCAGACTCCACCCAGAACTGACAGCCTTGGGCCCAGGCTTCAGACCATCCCTGGCTTGAAAGTGGGGCTTCACCCCGGGCCTGCCCCTTTCCACCCAGAAGCCTGTCTGCCTCCTGCTGCCATCGACATGTTGTCCATGGGACCCAGGCTGTTTGTGCCAAGGGGCAACTGCAGGCCCGCCCCGAGCCACCCTCAGCCCCACGTTGGCCTTCCTCCCGTGCTCATCTGCGCCCAAAGTCTGGAGGGCGTTAAGAAGGCAGGGGGCTGGCGTGTCAGTGCTACTCTGAGCACGCACATACCCAGCTGGGTTGTGACAGCACCCAGGCTTGGCCACAACTTTGCTTTGCTCTGGAGCAGGCACCGGGAGTAGGGAGAGGCCAGGCAGCGGGAGCAGGCACTTTCAAGCCTGCAGGGGCAAGAGGGCTTCCTGGGCACCCGAGAGTGCATTTTCCGAAGCTCATTTTCTCCTAATGCTAAGTTGCCAAATATTAAGATAAGTATTCAGTCAAAGCCAGATAAAATTGTCACAGAATGAATTTTGGGATACAACATTAAACATAAAATTTATTTAAAATATTTGTTTAAAATAGCAATTATATTTTTAAAAATTTTGGCAAATTATATAAATTTGACATAATTTTGCAAGAACAGTAATCTTTTCAGTGTCAGCTGCTGTTTCTCCTATAGCTATGTAATGTAAAGTTGTGATACCAAATATACTCCTTTCAACTGGTATATTTAATAACGTCACTAGCCTCTTTATGGCTGGCTGAATATAATAAAAGAAAAAGGTTTTCATAAAATATTTTCTATTAGAAAATTTGTATTTGGGACTCAAACTTGGATAAATCTAAAAAAAAAAGACCCTTGTATTTTTAGCAACTAAAATTAGTTTTGAGTCCCTAGCCGTTATTTTCACAGGTGATGTTTGCATTTTTAGCTTTCATAAACTAAAAGCTCTAAGAATTATCTTAAGTATTATTGCAAGTGCATTTTAAAAGTCTGATTAGCAAGAAGAAAATGTCTCTAGCACATTATTTTCTTCATCATATGCCCTATACATTTAATTACTGAAGCTATGAAAACTTCTCAGCCTTCCAAGATTTGTGTCTATTTCTATAACTATCTCTAATATTTTTCCCACCAGCCTGATTGAATGCCAGCATTCACAGATAATGATTGTTAGCATATAAGTCTCAAAGTAATGTAGGATTTATTAGCATTTAAATTTGTCTATAGTACATTTCCTAAATACCAAATAAATTTCATTTCTGTACATAAGTTGCAAAGAATTAAAAAAAAAATGAAATTGACAAAACAGTACTTACAGTAGCATAACAATGTAAATTACTTAAGAATAAATATACAAAGCCTTTGTAAGCCCCCTATGGAGAAAAATATAAACTTTATTGAAAGAAGGTAAGATGAAGAGAGATATCATGTTCTGAGATCACAACACTCAATATTGTGAAGATGTCGATTCTCTCCAAATTGATCTATGGATTCAATTTAATCCCAGTCAAAACGCCAACAGGGTGTGTTTGTGGGTGTGTGTATGTGTATGTGTTTGTGTGTGCGCACGCGTGTGCGTGAGAAAGAGAGAATGCCGAGAGAGAACGCAAGAGAAAGAGACTTGGAGATACTTAAAAACTGATCTAAAGTTTATGAGGACGAACAAAGGAACAAAAATAGCACATTCCTCCTGAAGAAAAAGACTTGATAGAGGAAGTAGTCTTAGCAGATATCCAACCTTAAACTAATATTGTACTCTTTAAACAATGTACTACTTATGCAGGGACATATCAATTTAACAGAGTAGAAAATCTTAAAATGAAATAGAGATGTAATCATTTCATTTATGGTCCAGTTAGTATTGCAGGAGAGTGGGGGACGTACAGACTTTTCAGTAAATGGCATTGAGACAACTGGTTATCCATGTTGAAAAAAAGAAATTTGATCTCCATATTATCAGATAGCTGAAAATCAACACCAGGTGAATTAAACGTTAAATTTTGAAGGCAAAACTATGAAAATTTTAGAGGACAATAAGGGAGAATATATTTCTGTCCTCAGGGTAAAGAAAGATTTCTTAAGCAAGATGTAAAAACTGCTAAATAAAAGGGAAAATGACATTTTCAACCATATGAAAACAGAAACTTCTGGGTCATCAGTGTATGCCAGTAAAAAGACTTGGAGAAAATATTTGCGGCATGGTAAAAATCAAATGAATAGAATCCAGAATATTTAAAGAATTCTAATTCATTATAAATTCATTAGCATCATTATGAGAAAGACAATCAAATAAAAAATGTACAAAAGACCTGAATAGACACTTCCCTAAACAACAACAAAGAAAACAGAAAGCCAACACACTTCATAAGTAACTAGAAAAATATAAGTTAAAAGCACACTCTCTAGACTGACAAAAATTAGCTTAACAATAAAAATGTTGGCTCTAATGTGGTTAATGAAAATTTCTATATACTGCTATTAGAAGTATAAATTTTAAAAATTGAGGAAAAAGATAAAAAACTTAATAGACAAATAAGCAAAAATATAAAGAGACAATTTTAAAAGTATGTATTTAAATAGCCTTTAAGTATATTGAAAGATAGTCAATCACACTCATAAGAGAAAGCAATTAAAATCATAGAGACACCATTTTCCATTTATCAGAGGAATAAAAATTAAAAAGTATAACAACACATTCCATTAGACAGGCTATGGGGAAAACAGACACTCTTAAAATTTTCTGGTGGGGATATTAATATCCATTATGAAGAGGAATATGGCAATAGCTATCAAAACTTACTATATCTGATCCAGCAATGCCACTTCTAGAAATTTAGCCAAAAGATATACCTCTACATATATATAAACACATATACACAGACTACTTATTGAATATTGTTTGTAGTTTGAAAATATTTATAAACAATGTGAATGCTATACATAGGATAGTAGCTGAATAAATAATTGCAGCATTTCCATGGAATACTCTATGTAACTGTATCAAAGAATGAGTAATAGCTATATTATTTTATCTTATTATATTATGATAAGCAAATTTAAAAACCAACCAAAAAGGAATGCAAGAAAAAAAGTGAAATAAAATAATACGCAAAAGTAACAGCAAGTTAAAAATTAATGATATGGTGTACTTCTATGGGCAGATGGAAATGAGCAGTATTGGCATGGAAAAAAATGAGAAAGTTGACAGGCCCCTCTCTGAATATGCTTAATGAAATAGTTCTAACTTGTGGAACCACATGAAAAATATCTCATTAAAAATCATCAAAAAGAATGGGGGAAATTCCCTAAAATAAAATATAAATAGAACCAAATGAAACAAACTTGATTTCATTTGAATAGCATAACTACAGTGAACAGGAGGGAGTGGACTAACACGTTATTTTTGCAATGGCATTTGGATTAAATATGCTCAAGCTAAAGACAAAAAGAATTGTAAACAAATGTTGAATTCTGATTGTAGTTTTCTTTTCCCCCACAAAGGTAACAGTAAGCAATTTTGAAATTACTTTCTGTGTAATCTAGGATTTAGTAAAATAAGTATATATGTTGTGCATAATAAGAAACAGATTTCCCATTGTCCAAAAGAAATTTACAGATTTGGAAAGCAGGAAGACTAGAATAAGCCCTGTGGAACTGGATTGGAATTGGAGTTATCAGAATGAACTCATGATTACACTTATATGTATATATATGTATGTATGTGTATGTGTTAATATACATGTATATACATATACATGTCTATTCAATATATGCGTGTATAAACACTTGTCCATATATATCCACCAACACACATCTGTATTTCTCTATCAATCTATGTATATTCTATCCGTTTATTGATCAATTGATCTATTACACATGTAGATTGATATAGACATAGATATAGATATGTGTGGGACACATATAGAGAGGTGTATAGATGGATATATATTTGTGTATGTATGTGTGTATGTGTATACATACATATATTCCTAGCTCTGTTCACTGAGACATACACAGCAGCAATCAGTACCAATAAGCATATTCCATGCCCAGATTTTGGTTTCTAAGTATCATCTTCCATTTAAGGAAGAGGTTCTCCTTGGGAAAATGGCTGATTCCAAAGCTGAGCAATTACAAAATGAGTGTGAAATATCTTGTGTTGTAGAATAAGGAAGTGCTCAAAAATGGTGGAGACAAATCAGAAAAGCATATATGTGTCACAGTTGAGACGCATTAAGTTTTCAGCATTTTAAAAATGGTTTAGCTATAAAAATTTCAGATTTTGAAGTATCATAAATCCAGAATATTCCCATTGTAATTCCTTCCACCTCTTAACAGTGGGGTATTGCCATGGGTCTGAGATTGGCAGAAGAACTGATGTGATTAACCCAGTAGAAATAGTTTCATTACCCAAATTTTGAAAACCAGAATTATGATTTTAGCATTGGCGGAGATAAGCTAGGAAACCATCCTTCCAAACTCATATACAAAATTACTGATGCCTCAGAATCTGGGGAATTGGTTGGTTGGTTGGTTGGTTTTCATACAGATCCCATCCTTGAAATTCCTAGCATTCTTCACTAATGGCAACAACTCTCATTGCCCACCTTCCCCCTACACACATGCACATATACATTTCATAGGAAATGAGATTTAAGTAAGTTACTATAGCTGTCTAAATTTACATCACTAATCCATGTCAGAGCCATAATCATCAGGAAAATCTGCAGAAAGTGAGAAAGTATTGCTTCCCTCGCTTGAAGCTATTACCCTGAGACTTACTAGGTCACCACTGCTAACAACACTTCTTCTTTTGTTTTGTCACTCATATCCCAATAGAGAAAGCTACCAAGGGTGAAGAAGGAGATGAGAATGAGCTGATAGAGAAAGGAATTTGGAGATGACTGTGTCTTGGGCACATAACTTTTATCTCACACATAAATTCATAATATGGGAAACCCTGAGAAACAGGCCACTTTCCCCTTTATAGTTGCGAGCCCTTGAGCAGTTATTTGACTTCCCTTAAGCCCACTTCCATGGTCTGAAAGGATGTTTAATAACACCCATCTCCCCCCTTCGAAGTCATAAAGTGACTAACATTTAGTAGGTGCTTAGAAAAAAAGTGAATTTTCTCTTTACTTTCCACTACCCTACTCCAGTAACTTTATGTAAATGTGAGTTTTGAAGAGTGGTGTTTTGAAGAGTGTCTAAAACTAAAGCATCAAGAACTTAGCATAAAATTTAAAATACTGAACATCTCCTCCAGATTTCAAAAGTTTCTGTTTTGTCTCCATGTCTCTTACCATTTCCCTAAACCAGAATCTTTTTGGCATTTGAAAGCCAACAAATACATGAATATGCCCAAAGTATTACTGTTATAAATTGTAATATGTACTATGTTCCTTGAGTATGGACAAAAAAGGGGGTTATTACATTACATAAGCACCACTATTTGTATTTCCCTGAAACCTAAGAAATTCTGATTTTTCTGAGACCTCCTTAATTTATATAGGTCATTACTATGTGGCTGGGAGCACCAGAAAAAAAAAAGAAACAACCTAAAAAAAATTTACAGTCAGAGATTCAAAGTGTTTATTACAGAAACTTCTCAGGAAAGAATCATTTACAAAAAGACAGCACTACCTTAGTCCTCTTTACGATAATAAGATTATTTCCCTCAGCCAAGCTAATAAGTTAATACCATCAATATTTCCCCCTGTTCACATTAGATTAAAGTATCCTTATCTTCCAATTAACCTGCAATTATGTGCCTTAATATCTGACATTCTCCTGGATTTTGGCTAATCCATACAATGCCAATATTTAAAGATAAGGTCCCCAGGTCAATCAGCTAGAAACCATTCCCAGAAGTTGATGCTAATCAAATTTGTTCATGCAGTTAAGTGAGTATATTGCTATGATAAGTTTTAGAACAGATGTTTGACATTGAAGAAAGCTCTTTATGGTAGAATTTAAATCCCTTTTGTTCAGTAATGACAAAGGTTATTAAAATATACTTTTTGGGGGTGACAATTAAGGCACATCAAAAACAATCAAAACAGCAGCCTCCTCATAGCCTTCTTAAGTATGACATTTCTTAGCCTCTCAATGTAGCCCCTGATGAAAGCACAGCATGAGGAATGGATAAAATTATGATCTTGCCTGAGAAATTAGCCCTAAGCACTGGTTAATAAAGGCAAATAGAATTTTACAAACCAACGTATAAACTTGACGAGGTTATTTTATTGCTTTTTGCACCAAAGTAAAGTAGACTGATATAATTACCTCCCTTATATTCTTATTTAATTCATTTTAAAAAATCTCGGTTGATGATGGGAGATCTGAAAATTAGAACAGATTGAATGTCGCTATTCTTTTAGCTCGAAGCTGCTTGATCTTTGATTAAACAGGTTTGTTTCCTGAAAGATTTCCAAATACCTTGTACTCCCCACTCCCATGATTTTGCACACTAAAAAAAAATTGATTTCTCCAGAATGTTTCTATTTTTAAATGAATGCTACACAATACACAGACACACACATACATGAATACACACACACGTGCACCTGCAGGTGCACACCCACATGGACTTCTTTCCTCAATGTCCAAAAGTCATCATTCCTATTGAACTAGTCATTTGAATTGTTTAAAGTAGCCATTGAAATATTAAGCACAAAACAGTTGGATTTAAGTGTTTATCTTACTTAATTAAAAACTGGAAAACTAAGAAACACAAAATAATTGTCTGGAAAAGCATCTTTCCACAAAGCTTGTGTTTGCTCTAAAATATTTTCAAAATGAAGCTTTTGATTAAATTATTAATTTTTTTATTTAAAGAATTTTCCCATTCCATTCTTATTTCACAATAACCAATACTGCTAAACATATAAACCACTATGATGATGCTCAAGTAGGCATAGTCCTTTGGTCTCTGTAGCCTAAACCTTTTGAATGTATTTAGAGAATTATCTCATTTTTAAATATTGTGTTTGTTAAGCAGAAAGTTTTCTGATACAGTTATTTTTCATCATCATTTTTAATGTGATATAATTATGTAAATCTTGACTGCATAGTAGATCACCATAAAATTATTAACAGGCTATAATCAAAGCTCCTTTTAACATCCACTAATACAAATCATGGTATTGTCCCTTGCAGTCTATCCCTTCAGACCACATGTGAACTAAAGTTTCCCTGTGTGATTCATCTCCTTTCAACTAGGTCTGAAATGCTATAATAAAGGACTATTTCAGTAGCAATTTTCATTGTGACTCCCCATGGTGAAAATCAAATCCAACTTTCCACTAAATAAGTTCACTGAACAAGAACTCTTTACCCCTTTACTCTCTCCTTTACAGATCCTGAACCAAAACTACTTAACTGAAGTTGTCAGAATGTATCTTAAAGTGCTGTTCCAATAGGACATCTGTGAAAAGTTAAAATAGGCTGTATCAATTAAAAACTCATGACCACAGGTCACAATATTTTACTTACAGGTAGAGTTAAAGCTGATCTTTCCTGTTAAGTCTATTAATGTTAAAAGGCTTTCCTTTTAATGATGCAAGTGCCTATCTCTACACCAGGCAAATTTACTGCTAGCTTATGTGTTAAGAAAATCTCAGAATAAGGGTGAAATTTACATCATTAGTAAAAACAAATCTTGTAAAACACAATCTTGCAAATGAGCTGTAGCTTTAAAAACATACCATTGCCTATTCCAAAAAAGGACCTTCCTGAGATCAGAGGCCTATTAAAAACCAGAAATGTTAGACATCTGTTGCTGTGTTGCATGAAGGCAAAGACAGAGATATATTAGTACCATATGTGAAGGAATATGATTCCAAAATCCAGCTTTGCTGGTATTTCCCAAAATAAGTTGCCAGGTTTTTAGAATAAATAAAATCAAAGATAAGTGACTTAAAAAAAGAAACCTCATCTTAAAAATTAAGCAATCCTTTATGAAAAAAATATATATCTTGGTATATATAACATGTTAGAGCAATTGTTTTCGAGTGGCTCCTTGAAAGAGATCACAATTATAGGGATAGTACAACCTATATTCAAAGAAAAACGTGACAGAAAACTCTTTCAGGAAAAAGTAATTCCTAGATCAAATGTTTAAGGGTGAGGGGAGTTGAGAACCAAAGCTGAAATTGTATCTCATTTTGTTTGTTATTATACTAGCAGTGTCTGATATTTTTAAAGTTCAAGGGTGATCAACATTTGCCCTGTTATGGTTCAACAGATGGAGTACCATTAACATGCTATAGGGTGGACTGTGACTGAGAGTCTGGTGGCGGGGTACGGGGTGGGGGAAGACCAAAGGAAAGCCCAGAGGTCTGAGGACTAGGGTCCATTCTTTTAACAGAATAACTACATTGTCAGTTCTTTCAGGACGGAGCAGAAAAAATATCAACCTTCCCAAATCACAAATGAAGGTGGATTGGTGGGGGTGG
The DNA here is from genome assembly GCF_000001405.40 of Homo sapiens. Classification (NCBI taxonomy): domain Eukaryota; kingdom Metazoa; phylum Chordata; class Mammalia; order Primates; family Hominidae; genus Homo; species Homo sapiens. The sequence goes on from NC_000015.10 coordinate 36,076,205, forward strand.
GAGTCACATTTAGTAATAAGAATTGGATTTTTAGGGAAAAAAAAAGCAACAATAGTTGAATTAGTTTGGCAGTGCTCAAAATGAGGAAGTAGCTAAGGCACTATCTAATTTAGGAGAGCTCACTAACCTTGTAAAGCATTGATTAATCTAGCTAATCTTGTGTAATCACATTGTTTCTGAAGTAATAACTAAGCCTATCTTTAAGAGAAGAGAGGGTGGCTTCCTTAATCAGTTTATAGCTATAATTTCCAAGCAGGAGAATAGTCTTAAGGGGCAAACATCTCAGCAACTAGATACAGTAACTAGATCTAGAGTCAGTAGAAGCAAGAAGTCTATACTCATGAAATTAAAGCCAATATATTACGAAAGGACCCTCTTCTGAAGATGAGAAACAAAATGAAGAACCTCTGTGTTCCTGGGTGGTGTGCATAAAGTCTCCCAGAAGAGAAAGTGAAGGTCTCTTGAGGAAGCTTATGTCCTCAGGACTTTATAACTATCCCAAGTATTCCTAAGAATGTGGAAAATGTTTCTACTGTCATTGGAAAACTTGTAAGAGAAACTACTTGCAAAGAATTTACAAAAGAGTTACAGATACAATGTTTAATGCTGATTCCCCATGTTTATGAGATTACCATCTTCTAATGCCTAAGTTTCCATTCATTCACATAGGAAAAGAAAAATAAACTTTAATTAGAGTTCAGTGTGGCCATATATCTCTGGAAGGTAACAATGATGAGAGAGAAGAGATGGACCTACTCTCTTTGATTAATTTTATGTAGGTTTTCTTGGCATGTTACATGGTGTACAAGTCAGCTTTCTAGGTTACACTGAGGTAAAAAAAATCTTCAAATCTCAGAGGCTTACAACAACAACAGTTTAACAATTGCTTAAGTTGAATATTGGCTGGAAAGACAGCTGACTATTTCAGCTGAACTGTTCTGCTTAGAGGTTTATTTTCTTTCCCAGTCCTGCTGAAGGAGCACCTTCTCTCTGCAAAATGCCTTCTTTTGCTAGAGGACTACCAGAACCATGCATTGGCTCTTAAGGTTTCTGCTGACACGTCATTGTCTAGGTAAGTCATATGGCCAATCCTGATATCTGGTGAGAAATACGCTACCCAACTCCCTATCCCCTGCAATAGGCACTGTGGATTACTTGGAAATGAACAAGATGGATACTATTTTCACAGGAAGTATAGAGAAGGTTTGGGGATAATAATGCAATCTACCAGAGGTGGAAATGTTGGATGGGATCAAGAAAGGATAATCTTGACTTTCTTAACAATTAGTCAGAGAAACTTCTAAGACAGATGACTCTTACATACACTAAAGATAAATAGAATTGTTTATTGGACATAATCTACTAAGTATTTTAGTTGGGGGTATATATGGGTTGGGTAAAAAAACAATAAAGATACCATGAACAACTTTTGTTCTTCATGTTGTAAAAGAAAGAAAACACCTAAGGAATCAACAAATAAATTGTTCTTGCTCTTGAAAATATGCCATTCAAATGGTGGCTCTGGAACTGGAGACGCATGGAAGAGACATCAGGTAAGTTTCAGTCACCAAGCCAGGCTACTGACTTAATCTAGTCATACTGCCTAGTGATACAAACTCTACCCAGTAGGTTAGGATAATATTAAGATATTAAAATATATAATCAAAACCTAACTACTTAGAATCTGAGTTGATACATCAAATAAACCATTACATTTTACTCCAAATTTCAGGGAAAAAATAAACAAAAAAATAATAAAACAAATATGTTGAAATGGCTGGCATATTTTCTTAGTTTACTATAGTTTCACCTAAATCTCTTCTACCTACACTGAACTAGATGGTGACCTAGAGGTGCTAAAAAAATTCCCCAAAGATGAAAAAAATCACATGTTGAATCTCTTATTATTTTTGCAAAGGAAATTAAGTATGGCTCTGTTTTAGAAAATTTGAAACCAAAATTTAAATTAAGAATTGTTTTTAACAGTTAATCAGAAAATTCAGTAAACTACTTCGTTTCCTGATTTCTAATCAACTTGATTGTCTGTTTATAAAATATATCATGAAGAAGTTAGCTTATATTCAAACAAGTATGAAAGGGATTTTATTTATTTATTTCTATCAGTCATTTGGCCATTTCTTATTACAAAGCTCTTTGAGAGTTGCCTAACCTGTTAGTCTCAGTTTCCTCTTGTAAATAAAGGATTATAATGTACTTATGAACATTAAATAAAGTAGTTATACAAAGATTTAGAGTAGTACCTAGCACCAAGCAAATGCTTAATAAATGGTGGTTATTATTCATAATTTATTTCTCCTTTCACCAAATATTACAAATGGGTTCTGTAGTCAACCAGGCCAGTGGTTGGGAGTAGGATGTGCACAGTGGAATAAACAGAGAACTTGAGTCAAGTATAAGAGAACTTTTGATTCTCCTTGAAATTATCTTTTCTAAAGCCTCCTTCTTAATGGCATACCGTTTCTTAATTTTGGCAACTGATCTTTTCTCAATCTTAGCTAAAATGTAGAAATAAAAGAAAAATTATTAGAAAAATATGATAAATAGTTCTAAGTAAAAACTAAACCTATTGTATAAATACCACTTTAAAATAATCCCTTAGCCCCCTTCTGAGTAGATAACTGTTTCTAAACTACACTATTTCAAGATATGTTTATTTTCATTATGAGAGATAAAGTAAACACAAGCATTGAAATGCAAATACATTTAACCAAAATTTTAAGAAGCATATTTTTATGTCTGAAGTGATTCTTCTCTAATCTATATTAATTGATGGCCTAAGTTAAGTACCTACCTGCTTTTGTTGGAGGTGTAGCCAGAGAAATTCAGAATGGATAAGGAATCAGTCTTTCCTTTAGAAGGCTAACAATCTAGTCAAAGGGTTAACTTTGGTATATAATTTGCTAACTAGAGTAGAACATTAAGCCACTTGTAATTCTCTGAACCTCTCATGCACTTTTACAGCCAGTGATGTCCTGGTTCACTGGCTCTCTGAAAATAAACGAAACAGCCCTGATTTATAGTATTCGCCAATGTCCGTGGTGTAAATTCTCCCAGCATGGTTGGTTTCAAGTTATCAACAGTCTTAACAACTGGATCTTAAAATTCTTGAATATTTCTTTCATGATCCTTTCCTGTAAAGCAACACAACCCAGTTCAGCAGCCCAGTGTTCCACCACTATGGCCTTGGCATTTAACCTATTTTAAAGCGACATTTTTCTTCTGACCCTGCTAAATTCTACACAGATTTTAAGCTCCAACTTATGCCATTTGCTTCAGGAAGTCTTTCTCAAATCACTGAGTCTGAGAATTTGCTGTTCATCCTTTCTCATTCCCCACCCCCCGCAAGGAATTTGGACTTACCACAATACTTATCACACTATGTGATGGGCACCTGTGTGCTTATCCACTTCTACTGGGAAGTTATGAGCAAGTTAAGTCAGAATCTGTGACTTACCTCTATTTCCTTATTGTTGGACACAAGTCCTTGTTGTAAAGACAAAAATCAGCACATGCATGAAAACAAATGCCATAACAGAGGTGCTACATACCCTGAGAGTTCAAATGAGAGAGAGAAAAACGTTTATTAAGAAACCGGTTAGATGATTTGTAATGGCATGTGAAGATAAGCTTGAAAACGGGTGGATTTTCAACCAGGAGAAACTGGAAGGTGGGGAGGATATTCCATGTGGAGAAAATAGTATAAACACAAAGTTCAGGACCAAAACTGTAGAGCATGTTCAGTGGAAAAATGGATCATGCAGTAAGGAAGGAATGTCAGTTACGAGCTGAAAAAAACAGTGGGAAGTTAGTCTGGTCGAGGATGTAAAGCTGAGGATTCTGAAGGCCTGCATGAAGAACCTGCGTTTAATTTGGTAAGCCATGGAGAATTATTGAAGGTGTAGAAAAACTCAAATTTTCCCTCTGAAGGTTTTAGTCTAAGTCTGTTGAAATGAATTGAAAATAGACAAATTAGCAGGGAAAAAAAGCATGCAATTTAATTAAAGTGCATTAGCATGGGAGAATTACAGAAGACTGATATCCCAGTAACCCAACAAGGTTTAGATGCTTATACACCCTTCTTCATAGGGGAGCAGGGAGATGGAAACTGTAAGCAATTCTTTTGAGGAGTAATATATGATTATTAGAGAAAATGAATGGACATGAAAGAAAGTAACATGTAAATGATTCTCTTTGGAGTTTAATTGAGTCCAAGAAGCAGACATTGTCCTGTTAAAAAGTCTATTTGTCTGCATTCTTCAGTCTTCTTTTCCTCTCTAGATAATGAAGTTTCAAGGAGGGAATAAAAGGCAATTGTGTTCTTTTTGGCATTTCTAGTCTTAAGATAGATAAGGGAATATCAGACTACAATCTCTTCCAGTTCCTTCTGAACCTCAAGGGCCTTTAATTTAAAACAATCAGAAGAAGAATAATGGCTCAGCACTGGCTCAGGCCAGTGCTCAGGCCAAACAAGCAGCCTTGTGCCCATATACTGGGCCTGGGAAATGCCCCATGGACCATCCCCAGCAGACTCACCTCCAGGCCAGCCAAGCAACCTCCACCTGCTTCTCCGGGCTTAGAAGCAGCCCCATAGGCTACTCTTTAGGCATGCCACCAGGCCAGAGGAGCAGCATTGTATCTGCATCCTGGACCTGAGAAATAGCCTCATAGGCTACCTCTGGCAAACATGCCCCTAGACTGGCCGAGCAGCTCGTACACATTCCCTGGGCCTGAGAAACAGCCCTGTTGGCCACTCCTGGCAGGCACGTCCAGGGTATCCAAGCAACTATGTGTTTGTGTACTTGGCCAGAGTAACAGTGTCATGGGCCCAACCCCAGCAAGCCACACACCAAGTCAGCCAACCCACTGTGTGCATGAATGCACTCCTGACTTGAGAAACAGCCCAGCAAAGCTATGCTACCACCACTGCAAATTCTCAGCTTGGCCACTGAGACACTTGCAAATGTCACTATTGTGAATTACAGCTGAAGAAACTATACTACTACATCCAAGTAGAACAAAGGCCAACACATCCCAACATATTGATATTCCAAGACCCATTCATGTGAATAAGGCTTTCCCTATGAAACCTATTCTATGAAATTGAAAGAGGTAGCCTTTCCACCAGTTGCATAGAAATTAAAGTAGAGACATATTAAACATTGAAAAGGAAGGAAACATGACACCTTCAAAGGAAAACAATAATTTTCTCATAACAGACCCCAATCACAATATATATGAAATGTCAGAAAAAGGATACAAAAAATAGTCTTCAGGAAACTCAGTGAGATACAAGAGAATCCAGATAGACAATCCAATGAAATCAGGAAAATAATTCATGATTTGAGTGAGAAATTGAACAAAGAAATAGATATTATAAAAAAGAACCAAACAGAAATCCTAGGCCTGAAGAATTCAATGAATCAAATAAAAAATACAATTGAGGGTTTTCACAACAGACTAGACCAAGCAGAAGAAAGAATTTGAGAACTTGAAGATAAGTCTTTTGAAATAACACAGGCAGACAATAAATAAATAATAAATATAAAAGAAAAGAAAAAGAAAGAATAAGAATGAAGAAAACCCTCAGGATTTATGGGACACCATTAAAAGAATGAATATTCATATTATGAGTGTCTAGAAGGAGAAGAGAAAAGGTGTACAAAACATATTTAATGAAATAACAGCTGAAAACTTCACAAATTTTGGGAGAGAGATGAACATCCAAGTCCAGGAATTTAAAAGAATTCCAAATAGATTCAACCCAAACAAGTCCTCTCAAGGTAAACTATAGTCAAATTGTCAAAAGTAAATGACAAAGAATTCTAAAAGCAGCAAGAGAAAACATCAAATCATATATAAGGGAATCCCCATTAGACTAATAGAGGATTTATCAGCAGAAACCTCATAGACCAGAAGTAAACAGTTTAATGTATTTGAAGTACTGAAAGAAAAACTACTGGCAGCCAAGAGTATTTTACCCAGCAAATGAAAGAGAAATAAAATCTTTTACCAGCAAAAACTAAGGGAATTTGTCACTACTAGACCACCTTACAAGAAATGCTCAAGGGATTCTTATGTCTAAAAGTGAAATGATGATCACCACCAACTTTAAAACATTCAAAACTATAAAACTCACCAGTAGACCTGATGGAGAAAGAAGGAGACCTGAAGGAGAAAGAGAGGAATAAAACCTCATCACTAGAGAAAACCACCCAACAATAAAATTAAACAATAAGAGAGGAAGTAAGGAATAAAGGATATATAAAACAAACAAAAAATTGTCAATAAAATGACAGGAGTAAATCCTCACCTACCAATAATAACCTTGAATGTAAACATTCTCCATTTAAAGATATAGACTGGCTGAATGGATTACAAAACAAGACCCAACTATATGCTGTCTACAAGAACTCACTTCAAGTAAAGATACACATATACTGAAAGTGAAGGGATGAAAAAAGATATTTTATGCAAACAGAAACCAAAAGTGAACAGTATCAGCTAGAAAGGTATCAGACAAAACAGACTTCAAGTTAAAACTATGTAAAAAGAGACAAAGAAGGGCTTATACAATAAAACCAATTCAGCAAGATAATATCACAAATGTAAATATATATGCACCCAGCACAAGAGCATCCAGTTATATAAAGCAAATGTTGTTTGGGAGAGATAGACTTCAATACAGTAATACTTGGAGACTTCAACATACCATTCCCAGCATTGGGCAGATCATCTAGATAGACAATCAAGCAAGAGACATCAGATTTAAACTGCACTATAACCAAATAGACCTAACATACATTTACAGAACATTTTACCCAACAGCCACAGAATAAACAGTCTTCTCATCAGCAAATGGAACATTCTTCAGTATTAACCATATGTTAGGACACAAAACAAATCTCAAAAATTTTTTTACAATTTGAAATTATATCAAGTATCTCATCTGACCATAAGGAAAAAAAAACTAAACATTAATAACAAGAAAAACAATCAAAAATATTCAAATACATAGTAATTAAACAACATGTTCCTGAATGACCAACAACTGAAGAAATAAACTAATAATAAAATCTAGAAAATGCCTGTAACAAATGAAAATGGAAACACAACATACCAAAACCTATAGAACACAGCAAAAGCAGTATTAAGAGGCAAGTTTATACAAACAAAAGCCTATAACAGAAAACTAGAAAACTAGAAGGATTCCATATAACCTAATGATGCATCTCAAGGAATCAGAAAAACAAGAACAAAACAACCCAAAATTAGTAAGAGGAAGGAATTAATGAAAAACTGAGCAGAAATAAAGAACATTTCGACTAAAATACCAATACAAAAGATAAATGAGGCTGGGTGCAGTGCGTCATGCCTGTAATTCCAAAACTTTAGGAGGCCGAGGCAAGAGAATAGCTTGAGCCCAGGAGTTTGAGACCAGCGTGGCCAACATAGGGAGACTTTGTCTCTACAAAAAAATTACAAAATAAAAAAATTAGCTAGGCATGGCAGTGTGTGCTTGTAGTCCCACCTACTTGTGATGCTGAGGTGGGAGGATCACTTGACCCAAGGATGTCGAGGTTGCAGTGAGCTGTGATTGTGCCACTGCACTCCAGCCAGGGCAACAAAGTGCAACTGTCTGAAAAAAAAAAAAAGAAACAAAAAGGATTTTTTACGAAGATAAAATCGGCACACCATTAGGTAGATTAACTGAGAAATAAAGAAAGACCTAACTAAATAAAACCAGAATGTGACAATGTATACCACAAAAATACAAAGTACAAAGGATTATTAGAGGCTACTATAAACAACTGCACACCAATAAATTCAAAAACCTAGAAGAAATCAGTAAGTGCCTGGACAAGTACAACTTACCAACATTGAACCAAGAAGAAATAGAAAACCTGAACAAACCAGTAAGTAGTAATAAGATTGAATCAGTAATACCGTCTCCCAGAAAAGAAATTACAGGACCAGATTGCTTCACTTCCAAATTCTACTGAACCTTTAAAGATGAATTCATATAAATTCTTCTCAAACTATTCAAAAAATAGGAACAAAGGGAATTCTTCCTAACTCATTCTGTAAGACCAGTAGAACCCTGATATCAAATCAAACAAGGACACACACACACACACACACAGGCACACCCATGAATGCGCAAACACGCACAAGAAAACTATAGGCCAGTGTCCCTGATGAACAGTTGTACAAATCTTCAAAAAAAAAAAAAATACTGGCAAACCAAATTCAACAATACATCAAAAAGATAACACACCATGATTAACTCTGATTTATCACAGAAATACAAGAATGTTTCAATATATGCAAATCAATACATTACATATGTCATATCAATAGAATGAAGGACAAAAAACATATAATCATCTCAAGAGGTACAGAAGCAGCATTTGATAAAATTCAGTATCCCTTCATGATAAAAATTCTCAAGAAATTATATATAGAAGAGTCTCAATACTTCTCTTCTGTATATAAAATAATAAAGGACAGATATGACAAACCCACAGCTAACAGTGGTCTAAATGTGGAAAAGCCAAAAATGTTTTAAGAACTGGAACAAGACAAGGATGCTTACCCTCTGCACTCTTACTAAGCATAGCACTAGAAGTCCTAGCCAGAGCAATTAGGCAAGAGAAAGAAATGAAGAGCATCAAAATTGGAAAGAAGGAAGTCAAATTGTTCCTGTTTGCAGATGCCATAATCTCACATATAGAAAAACCTGAAGAGTCTACCAAAAAACTCTTAGAACTGATAAGTTCAGCAAGTTTGCAGGATACAAAATCAATATATAAAAATCAGTAGCACTTTTATAAAGAACAACAAATTAGCTAAAAAAGAAATTAAGAAGGCAATTCCATTTACAGTAACTACCAAAAATAAAATTCCTAGGAATAAATTTAACCAAGTAGGTGCAAGACCTCTACAAGGAAAATTACAAAACACTGATGAAATATATTGAAGAGGATACAAACAAAAGGAAAGACATCCCACACTAATGAATTGGAAGAATGGATGTTATTAAAATGACCATGGTACCCAAAATAATTTACAGATTCAGTGCAATCCCTTTCGAAATACCAAGGACTTTCTACACAGAAATAGAAAAAAAAAAGTCCTAAAATTTATTTGGAACCACAAAAGATCCCAAAGAGCCAAGGCAGTCCTGGGGAAAAGAAGCAAAGCTGGAGGCATCACACTATCAGACTTTGAAATATACTACAAAGCGGTAGTAACCAAAACAGCATAATATTGGCATAAAAACAGACATACAGACCAATGAAACAGAGTTTAATTATCCATGTTTCTAAAGTCAACAAATTGTTACAAAGATGCCAAGAACAGTCTTTGGATAAAGGACAGTCTTTTTAATAAATGGTGCTGGGAAAACTGGGTATCTGTATGCAGAAGAATTAAACTAGACTTCTACCTCTTATCCTATTAAAAAATCAATTCAAAATGGATCAAAGACCTAAATATAAGACCTGAAACTATAAAATTACTAGAAGAAAACATAGAGGAAACACTTCAGGACAGTGGCCTGGGAAAATATTTTATGAATAATACCTGAAAAGCATAGGCAACAAAAGCAAAAATAAACTAATGGAATCAAATGATAAAGCTTCTGCACAGCAAAGGAAACAATCAGCAGAGTGAAAAGCTGACCTAAAGAATGGGAGAAAATATTTTCAAACTGTTCACCTGATGGGGGATTAATATCTAGAATTTACAAGGAACTCAAATAACAGCAAAAAAGGAAATGATTCAATTTTTTTAAATGGACAATTATCTTAGCAGATATTCCTGAAAAGAAGACATCCAAATACCCAACAAATATATGAAAAAAATGTGTTCAACATCACTAATCATCAGGGAATTGCAAACCAAAGTACAATGAGGTATCTCATCCCAGTTATTATGGCTACTATAAAAAAGACAAACTGTTAGACTAAGCAGTTAGGCAGACCTGAGCAGGGCAGGAAGAAACACCCCCTCCTCCACACCTGCCACACCACCCACCCAGGAATGTCAGGTGATCATCAGGTGATGGTCAGGTTGTAAACTGTCTCTCTAAAGTGACAACTTGTCACAGCCAGCACCAGAGAAGACAGTGTCCCAATAGATACAAAATACCTGGAGCTGGTGATAAACAGTTTCCCCATAAAATCTCAGGATTTGGGTGACAGGGCTCAAGCATACACACTAAAAGGCAAAATGGTGGCATTTAACCAGTATAAGACTTTCCTCTAGGAACGCTTGACAGGTAAGGGAAAAATGCCTCAAATGAGCACATGCACTTCAGTAAACACTGCACATGCAGCCCCTTCCAAGTGCTGGCAGGCCACCGCACATACAGACAACCTGCTCCAAGGGAAGAATCAAGGGAGATGAAATGCAAACTCTGGAACCATACCAATGTATAAAACCCCAAGTCAAGGGCTGGAAGGGGCACTGGGATCTCTCAAGTCGCACGTTTGGCCCTCTTCCAAGTGTACTTTGCTTCCTTTCTTTCCTACTCTAAAACTTCTAAATATACTTTCACTCCGGCTCTACAACTTGCCTTGGTCTCTCCTTCTGCCTTAAACTTTCTTCTGCCCCTCAGTGGAATTCTTTCCTCCGAGGAGGCAAGGATGGAGTTGCTGCAGACCTGTACAAATTTGCCTCTGGTAACAAAACAATAACAAATGCTGTTTAGGCTGCAGAGAAAAGAGAATTTTTATATGCTACTGATGGGTATATAAACTAGCACAACCACTGTGGAGAATTGCATGGTAATCCCTCAAAAAATTACAAATAGAACTACCGTATGATCCAGCAATCCCACCACTGGGCATTTATCCAAAGGAAAGAAAAATCAGTATATTGAACAGACATCTGCACTCCCAGGTTTATTGCAACACTATTCACAATAGCCAAGATATGGAATCAACCTAGGTGTCCAACAACAGACAAATGGATAAAGAAAATGTGTTATACACAATGGATTACCGTTCAGCCATAAAGAGGAATGAAATCCTGTTATTCATGGCAACATGGATGGAAATGGAGGACATTATGTTAAGTGGAATAAGCCAGGAACAGAAAGCTGAACACTACATGTTGTCATTCATATGTGGAAGCAAAAAAATAAGTTGATCTTGTAGTATTAAAATGAACAGAGGCTACTGGCAGCTGGGAAAGGTATGGGGAAAGGAAGGATAGAAAGAGAATTGTGGAAAGATATGAAGTTACACTAAGATTGAAAGACTAAGTTCTAGGGTTCTGAAGTACTGTAGGATGGCTGTAGTTAATATACTATACAGTTCCAAATAGCTAGAAGGAGGATATTGAATGTTTCCAAGGCAAAGAAATGATAAATGTTTGAGATGATGGATTTGCTAATTTCCCTGATGTGATCACTGTGCATGGAAACACTATGTACTCCATAAATACATACAATTATTATGCATCAATTTTAAAAAGATAAAATAAAGAATAAACACACAATTGTGCCATATTTTGGGGTGAAATTCCCTGGGATCCTTGAAAGGTTTTTGAGGCAGGGAATTATAAATTTAGATCTAAGTTTTAGAAGGATTATTCAGACAGGAGAATGAAAGAGGCTGTTCTAAGGAAAGAGATTTTTACAAAAAAAAAAATAGAAGATATAAACTAAGGAGTTGTAGGGTGTAAATAGAAGGTGATAAATTTAAGAGATAAAATATAGCTAGAAATTTTACAGCAGTTATATATTAGCTGCATTTTTAAATCTTCAAATAAATAGCAAGCAAGCAAGTCAAACAACAGAACAGCAAACTTATGTACATGCTTGTCCTTCAAATCATCTTCCTCTCTTCTTCTGTCTCTGTTTCTTTCCCTCTTCCTTTTAATTTTGATAAACGTTTAGCTCTGCATCAGAAATGAAACATTCTTTCTCTAGTACAGGAGTGATAGTAATAGTCCCTATCACTCTGTTTACTTTCAATATTTCTGCCAAATAACCTTTTTATGTTTTTATTAGTTTTTTAATTTCTTATTAACAGAGGGTTTTTATATTAAAAGTGGTATATATATAGCCATCATGTTTTGCATGTTCCAAATACTGTGGGATAAATTTTTCCATCAGCTCTTTAAAAGTATTATGTGAAACAATGTATCATTATATACGGGTGAATCTAAAAATAAGTTGGTAAAAAAAAAAAATCAGAATTATGTAACCAACCCCAGGTTATAAAAGCCAGATGACATAAGTAGTAATTCTCTGGTAGCATACCATGTAATTACAAACAAACTCTCCCTGGATTTGATCATAAGCTGGCTCTTCAAAGCAAATTTATATGCTTTGTTTAAATTTTTTTAAAATTATACTTAAAGTTCTGGGATACATGTGCAGTCGTGCAGGTTTGTAACATAGGTATACACGTGCCATGGTGGTTTGCTGCACCCATTGACTCATCATCTACATTAGGTATTTCTCCTAATCCTATCCCTCCACTAGCCCCCCACCCCATGACAGGCCCCAGTGTGTGATGTTCCCCTCCCTGTGTCCATGTGTTCTCACTGTTCAACTCCCACTTATGAGTGAGAACATGCGGTGTTTGGTTTTCGGTTCCTGTGTTAGTTTGCTGAGAATGATGGTTTCCAGCTTCATCCATGTCCCTGCAAAGGACATGAACTCATCCTTTTTTATGGCTACGTAGTATTCCATGGTGTATATGTGCCACATTTTCTTTATCCAGTCTATCATTGATGGACATTTGGGTTGGTTCCAAGTCTTTGCTATTGTGAACAGTGCCACAGTAAACATACATGTGCATGTGTCTTTATAATAGAATGATTTATAATCCTTTGGGTATATACCCAGTAATGTGATTGCTGGGTCAAATGGTATTTCTGGTTCTAGATCCTTGAGAAATCGCCACTGTCTTCCACAATGGTTGAACTAATTTACACTCCCACCAACAGTATAAAAGCATTCCTATTTCTCCACATCCTCTCCAGCATCTGTTGTTTCCTGACTTTTTAATGATCACCATTCTAACTGGCATGAGATGGTGTCTCATTGTGGTTTTGATTTGCATTTCTCTAACGACCAGTGATGATGAGCTTTTTTTCATGTTTGTTGGCCACATAAATGTCTTCTTTTGAGAAGCGTCTGTTCATCTGTTCATATCCTTCATCCACTTTTTGATGGGGTTGTTTGTTTTTTTCTTGTAAATTTGTTTAAGTTCCTTGTAGATTCTGGATATTAGCCCTTTGACAGATGGATAGATTGCAAAAATTTTTCCCCATTCTGTAGGTTGTCTGTCCACTCTGATGATAGTTTCTTTTGCTGTGCAGAAGCTCTTTAGTTTGATTAGATCCCATTTGTCAATTTTGGCTTTTGTTGCCATTGGTTTTAATTTTGTAATGAGTAGGTTACCTTTGAATTACAAAAATCCTAAACAAGATGTGTTCTATTTCAATTCTCATCACATGGCATCTTTAGTTTGGAGACAATCAACATAGATAGGGTGTCTTTCACAATACTTTCTCTTGTCATTTACTATTTTAATTTTTCAAGTTCAGGGTTATGGAGAGCTCACAGGCAGCTCATGGATAAATTTATGATGTCATAATATCACATGAATTTTGGGGTTAAAGCTACATATGAACTAAAAGAACTTTAATAAACCATGAATACCTAAAACCTTTACACAAAGCACACAACACTAGATAAACAAATAAACAACTAAAGCCTGTTGGTACTTGGCAGCAGTTTAATTTCTATCACCGTATCTTTATTTCCATAGTGGAAAGACAAAGAGAATCATCACAGAGTATCTCCTGGTTTAAGCCTTCCCCAGCTTTGTTTTCTCTGTGAATTCTTCTTTATTTTGCCTACCTTGGAACTATATTAATATTTATAAAAATGTTTATTATCGTATGTATCCATTGAAATGATTTTTCTACTATTTTCCCTCAAAAACAAAGGCATTTTCTTTCATCTTCATATACCTCTATGCCTTGAACAATGCAGAGCCTAGCACATAGTAGGCCCTCTATTAATGCTGGTTGAAATGAACTAGTGGGAACTCACATTGAATTTTTGCTGTATCACACGTATGCATGTGTAAAACATAGCCACTTTTATAGCCCATTTAAGCACATTTTCTAGAGAAGAAATATTGACCTTTTCATTATGAAACCACAAGAGCTTGTTAGTAGATGAAGGACACTTAAAATACAAAACACAATGTGAAGTGTGGCAATAAACAGACATCATTTTCTTAATGCATAGCTTAAGTGTAGAATTTTTGAGGTTAACACTGGATTCCTTTTATTGCATATGGATCAAATGTCAATGGGCAGGAAATGTGCCAATATTTTTAAAAATGCAATTAAAACATAATTATGTTAAATTGCTACAGCAAGCTAATGCTAGATAAATGTGAAAGTTTCAGCCCAATATTAGCCTATCAAAGGATAGGGCCTAATGTGAGGGCAATCCTGAGGGCTGTGCTTTCAATTACAATAGATTGTGGTGAAGGGCTGTTTCTCAATTAGCAAGATAAAAGTGTAACTCTTCTCAACAGGGATGTTTACTATAAAGCCATAGAAGAAACCCAAGGAATGAATTGGACAGTTAATTCAGTTAATGCACACATGCTGAAAAGATGAGTAGCCATAAGGTAAGATGAAGTGTATAAAGATATCACCTCCTAAATGGGTTTTGAGGTTTCCAGTAGGTAATACAGTAGATAATATGTCCTCTACAATTTAAGCCAGCAGCATAACTGATCATCCTATTCAAAAGGCAACCATGTTATCCAATTGTTATCATTCAAGGGGAGACTAGAGAGGAAAAGATCCTTCTGGGTACAGCTTCTATATGAAACATAGTTTGTGTGAGACATACTCATTCACTTAAGGCTAGTATTCAAATCACCATCCTTAATTATAATTGTTGGCTGCAATGAATAATCTGTGGATGGTTTTGAGTTGCTGCCAAAGATAATATATCTCCGGGAGTAGAGGGGGAGGAAAAATAAGCTTTATGGGAAGAGAAACTCTTTTCCCATAAATGATGAATCAATCCATTATATTTGTGATAATCAATGCCCTGGATCCTCTTCATGTCAAGGTTGGGGGAGGGAAAACCTTAGTGAAGTAGCCAATCATTATTAATTCATTCACTGCACTATTATTAATCATGAGGACCAATGTGACATTAATGTGACTATAATGTAGGCTTCAATAAGAATTTCACTCTAGAATAGAAACATGGTATAGATTTTGTTTTCTATCTTAGTTACCCAACAAGTGCTTATTAAAGATTTTAAGGGAAGAAGGGAACATTTTACATGCTTTACACGTGGGTATGGAACCAAAGGGAATTATATTGAGGGCTTACTTGTAAATTTCCTGTTTGGCCCAAGGGTTGTCTGAGAGACAGTCAGCACTTCTGATGGCAAAGTGTTCTTCCAGGAAATACGTATCCCTGAGGCTGCTGGGACAGGGGTGGCAGCAGAGGCAGAGGTTTCTGGGAAGGGAATCTCTAATGGTGTCTGTCATTTCTTAAAAGAAATTTGAGGGAGATAGACGAACAAGTCAATCCATAAAGCCTGACTACTGATCTTGAATTTGAGAATTTTTCTGAAATGGCCTTAATCTAATCTTTTCAAATGTAATGAGGACTCACTTCTGAAGGCTTTGAGGCAAAAGCCATCTCAATTCAACAGATCCAGTGCTTCAACTATCAAGGGAAAAGTGCTCAGTGTCCATTCCTGCTGCTGTGGCCCTAGTTCAGGACACCATCTTGCTGCAACAACCCAACAGCTGGGTAATCTGGCAAGTGCTTGAGGCTACAGAAGCCAACAAGTTCCTCATGATTTTCCCTTCATGTATACTGTCAACTCAACTCTTGCTGTTCATGTCAAACCAAGCAGCTCAGAATTCAGAATTCCTCTTGAGAACCACTGTGTTTCCCATTTCCCTGCCTTGTTTATGTCAACTTCTCTGCTAGCATCTCCTTCCTCTGCACCCTTAGACCAGCTTTCCTCTTGTGCTTTAAAGTTTAAGTCAAGCATCACTTCTTTCAGGAAGCCCTTCCTATCATTCATTTCTGTACGCTCTGAAGTTTCTGGACACATATCTATTGAAATGGTTCCCACACAGTTCAAATGACCATTTTGTCTTTCTCCCACCAAACCATGAATTTCTCAGCACTTAATAATATTTCTATTTCATCTTTGTATCCTCAGCACTTAGTTGAATACCAGCCACATATTAGAGAATGAAAAAATGTTAAATATATAAAAAACCGAACACATGAACAAATATCCTAGCAGCATATTTGAATGTAGGCCTTATTTTAAATTCTCTTTGGTTTTAGTAAGCTTATCAGTAGTGCCTACTTAATTTTTCTTAGTATACTTATATAATTTCTTGGCTGTTTTACAATGTATTCATCCTTTTTTTTCCTTGTTAATCACCAATGTTGTCATTTTATGATTCAGTCAATTCTCTGCTGCCCAGTCTAAGGATATACTACCATTAATTTTATCTTTCCCAAAAAAGTATTTCTTCTGTTGATTATGTTTGCATATATTTGAAAGAAAAACTCTGCTGTTGTAGCTTACTGTCATAATCCATGATTTCTCCATCTCTAAAACTGAAAAGCTAATAATAATTAGGTCTACATCTTGGGATTTGAAATGACATGATAGGTAGAAGATGTTTTCATAAAGCTGTGCTAATAAATGTCAGGCCTCTTCATTTTTTATGTCTCATACAGATTTTGATATACCTTGGAGTGAAGATAGGGATAAAATACGTTTCTCCTCTGGGTCAGTGCTCTTCTAATTTCCAAGTATATATGCATCTGACTTACCACAACTTATTTTTCATGGATCTTCTTCAAGCTCCTCAAATTTGATATGTCTAAACAAAACTGGAAATCTTCAAACATATTTCTCCCTTTCCCTTTGTAAGTCAATCATACTAGCACTCTCAGTGGCTAAAGGCTAGAAACCATGTGGTCATCAGTGATGGCTTCCTTTCAGTCCCTTATTTGGTCAGTCACCTAGTGCCGTCACTTCTACCTCCAAATACCTCTTCAGCATTCCCCTTCTTTCGCACCTCTAGGGCCTCTCTCGTAGGCCCTTATCATCTTGTGTTCAGCTTGTGCGGAAGCTCCAACTGGCCTCCTGCCTTCCAGGCTCTCCTCCCTCCAGTATGTCCTGTCCTCCCTGTTCTAAAACAAGTATTTAATCATATAAACCCCCTGCTCAACAGCCTTAAATGATACTTTATTCTTTATAGGACTAAGTTTGTAGTTCTTAGGCTGGAACATAAGGCCTTTTCTAATCTGTCCCCTAAAGACACTTCCATCTTCATTTCCTGTGTTGGAAACATGTTCTCTTTCCTCTGGTCACACACAAGGTTAGAACAGAGTACATTTATACTGATGATGGCCTGGGAAGGTAGGGAAAAATACCTGTAAAAGGCCAATGGTTAGGCTGGGATTTTATGTATGTCATCTCCTTTCACCCTCACAAGAACTCCATGAGGAGGTTGTAAGTACCCCTGTTTCAAAAAGAGAATAACAAAAACAGTAAAGCTTGGTCCAAAGGTGTTCCATGCCTAATGGTAGAATAGGCATTCAAACTGAGATCTATCTGCTTCAAAGATCTTATGGTGTTTCTCAAAAGTGCTGTTTATTCACACTATGTGCTCTTTCAAGGGGAGTTTTTTTCTTTCTGAAACACTCTTGTCTCCTCTAATCTATTCCACCTGGTAATTTTTTCTGCTTGGTTTTTGTTGCCCAAATTTGATACAATTTCTTCTATGAAATTTGTTCTATCTCCTTTTCTGTCTTAATGCTTCACACATTAGCCTCTATTGCTTATTGCATCTAATTGCAATCATAATTACCAAACTGTGAAGCCTTCAAATGGCAAAGCGAGTATTTTACACATATTTGTAATCCCAGCACTTTATATAATTTCTGGCACATAATAGGAGTTTTAAACATACTTGTTAAGAGATTGAATTAATGTATTTCTAGAATGAGGGTATTAGGTATATACTTTCTTAGAAAATTCAGGTGTAAAATACACGTTTTACTCATCATCATTTTAAATCAAATTTTTAAGCAAATTACTCCAAATTTCCATCCTACTGAGCTGATGGTAAATTTAATGTTGGGAGATCTCAAATCTGGGAAACTTATGTGATGCTCAAAAAATGGCAACCAGGGTAAGGGCCTGGGTTTTAACTCCACTATGTTCACCCTATACTTTTCTATTATCCAACCTACATGCCCTCATGGTCAGATGGTTCTACGGTTTGTGTCAACGTGATCTTTGCTGAGGCAGAGAGACTAATGCTGGGTCCTGTGTTCTTTCTTTTTCTTTCTTTTTTTTTTTTTTTTGAGACAGAGTCTTGCTCTGTTGCCCAGTCTGGAGTGCAGTGGTGTGATCTCGGCTCACTGCAATCTCTGCCTCCTGGGTTCCAGCAATTCTCCTGCCTCAGCTTCCCAAGTAACTGGGATTACTCACCACTCACCACCATGCCCAGCTAATTTTTGTAGTTTTCGTAGAGATGGTGTATCACCATGTTGGCCAGGCTGGTCTCGAACTCCTGACCTCAAGTGATTCACCTGCTTAGCCTCCCAAAATGCTGGGATTGTGGACATGAACCAACACACCCGGAATATCCTCACTCCTTGCTGGTCCAGACCTTATTAGCTAAGTCTGGACAAAAAAAAGTAGCACAAGAATTGCTTCAAATTAGAAAGTATTTTAAATGGAATAAAAATGAAAGCATGATTTTATCAAAATTTGTAGGTGTCATTTAAGCAGCATTGGGAAGGGGAATGTATAGCACTAAATGCCTACGTTCTAAAAGAAGAAAGAGCTCAAGTCAATGACTACATATACTATAAGAAAACAGGGAAAAAGAAAGAAAATTAAGCTGAAGTAAGAAGAAAAAAGAAATCATAAAGGCTAAATAAGAAGTCAAATAGAAAATAACAATAGAGAAAATTAATAAAACCAAAATCTCTAACTGTAGGATCAATAAAATTGATAAACCTTGAGTTAGACACATCAAGAACAAAAAAGAGAAGAAAAAATTACCAGTATCAAGTGTGAGAGAGGTGTCTTCATTACAGATTTGACAGATATTAAAAGGATAAAAAGATATCATGAACAATTCTATGCCAAAAATTTGACAACTTAAAGGAAATAGACAAATTTTTTGAGAAACACAAATGATCAAAGCTCATACAAGAAAAAATAGATAACCTGAATAGCTATATACCTGTAAAGAAATTATATTTTCTCTTAAAGAGAACCCTTCCCTCAAGAAAACACTGTGTCCAAATGGCTTCACTGGTGAATTCTACCAAGTATTTAAGAAAGAGAAAATACCATTTTTATACAAACTCTTCCAGAAAATTGAAGGACATTGAATACTTTTCAACTTATTCCATGACTCCAGCACTGCCCTAATATCAAAACCAGAAAAAGACATTATACGAAAAAAACTCCAGATACCAATATTTCACATTTATAGAACGTGTTTAGAATCACATAGATTTAAACTATACATACATATTAAAATGTTCTGTACACTCTTTTAATAACTTGAATCCAACAGTATATAAAGAAGATAATTCAAAATATCTAGTATGACTTAGTTCAGGAATGTAGGAGTAATTTAACAATAAAAAATCAAGACTGAGTGCAGTGGTTCACACCTAAAATCCCAGCACTTTAGGAGGCCAAAGCAGGAGGATGGCTTCAGCCGAGGAGTTCAAGATTGGCCTTGGCAATGTAGCAAGACCCCACCTCTACAAAATAATAATAATCATAACAATAAAAACTAGTTGAGTGGGGTAGCACATGCCTGTCGTCCCAGCTACTCAAGAGGCTGAGGTGGGAAGATCACTTGAGCCCAGGAGGTTCAGGCCTGGGTGACAGAGCAAGATCTTGTCTCAAAAAACAAAACAAAATTTAAAAAATCAGTATAATTCACCATATTAGCAAATTGACTGTCTTAGTCCATTTGCGATGCTATAACAAAACACCATAAACTAGAAATTGATTTCTCACAGTTCTGAAGGCTGTAAAGTTCCAGATCAGGGTGACAGCAGCTTTGGCCACATGAGGGCCTACTCATAAATAGCCCCTCTTGCTGTGTCTTCACATGTTGGAAATAACTAGCTAGCTTTCTGGGGGTCTATTTTATAAGGATATAAATTCCATTTGTAATAACCTCCCACAGAGCCCACTTCCTAGTACTATCATCTTGGGGATTAGGATTTTTAACATACAAGTTTTGTGGGGGAAATGAACATTCAGAGCATAACACAGACTAAAAATTAAAAACAAGATGGTAACCTCATTAGACAGAAAAAGCATTTGATAAAATCTAACACTCATTCATAAATAATAAAAAAAAAAACTCTCATCAAACTAGGAGGAGAAAGGATCTTTCTCAAACTGATAAAGGACATCTACAAAAACCTACAGCTAATGTCATACTTAATGGTGAGAAGCTACATGCTTTCCTCCCAAGTTCAAGAACAAGACAGGGATGTCCCTACCACTTCTATTAAACATTAGGCAAGAAAAAGAAATAAAAAGCATCAAGAGTGGAAAGCTAGATGTAAAATTGTCTCTATTCACAGATGACATGACTATGTAGACAATCCAATGAAATCTATTAAAAAGCTATAACTAAAAATGGATTTAGTGAAGTTACTATTTACAAGATTAATATGCAAAAATCACATGTATTCCACATCTTTGCAACTAAAATTGAATGTTTGAATTTTTAAAATACCATAATTCAAAAATATTGATGTTATTTACAGTAACATTGAGAATATGAAATATTTCTGAATTTTCGGAATAACTGACAAAAGACATGTATGACTTGTAGTTTGAAAATTACAAAACACTGCAGAGACAAATTAAAGATGACCTAAATAATTAGAGAAATATACCTTATTCAAGGATAGGAAGATTCAGCAACATTGAGGTGTCAGTTATCCCCAAATTGATCCATAGATTTTTGGAGGATGATTATATTCACTATTTTTACCAGGGTGCTTATTTTATAAGTATGCACATATGTCAAAATTTATCAAATTGTATACTTCAAATATGTGAGTTTTTTTGTATGTTAATTTTACTTTAATAAAGCTGTTTAAAAAACAAACAAACAAACAAAACCCCCTTGATAGCTCTTCATAGCTTTCATGTGATAAAGTTGCATGTTTTTAATGGAAAAGCATGGGCTTTAAGATTTTCCTATCCACTTAATTACTTCAGGAAAATCACTTCACCTCTGTTAAGTGTGGATTCCTCCATCGAACAGGGACAATAAAGTTTGGCCAAAACAGTTGTTGTTAGAAACAATAAAACATTTTATTTAAAGTGGCTAGGATAGTGCCTGTCACCTTGTGTATGAAATGCCTTAAACTGGAGGTAAGCAATTATTAGCTGTTGCCTTAGAGATTATTCACTACCTAAAAGGAAGAGAGTAGCACATAAAAGAACTATTTCCCTTAGTTCACATTTTGCTTAGGGCTTATCCTGACTTGATGTCACAAAATAATTTATAGAACCTTATGTCATACAATTTAAAATCTTACAGATGCTCACAATGGACATTATGATTTCTTACCATTGCCTGAATTTTGCTACATTTTTGTTTGCAAAACTTCATTTATACAATCACAGCCTTACTATATTGAGAGGTAACTCTGTTTCCATTGACTTTTTAAAAATTAATGAATTTCAACCTAAAGCAAATATTGATAAACCATATATGCCATTTGAAATGTACAGTTTTCTTTCCTCAAAGCAAATGCAGCAAAAACTTACATTTATCTATGAACTTTAGTAGTGAGTGTTACTAGCTTTATGACCATGGCCAAGTCAATAACATTCCTAGATACAAGTTTTTTAGTTTTTATACAGTAAGGTCTGGATCACATGACTTCCAAGATCACTGTCTGCTTCAAAATTGTATTGCTGAAATAGTATATAATTATTTGAATTTTTTGAGTGCTATCAAGTAAACAATCTTTGATATTTCAAAGCATGTTGTTGAATATTTAAAATAATTATATAACTATTGTTAGCATGTATGTATGTCTTAACATAACACCATGATTGTACATGTATAGAGATTTTTATTGGATAATTTGTATCAGCAGAGAATTCAGAGTTTTCAAATTTGTAGAAAGAACTGATTAGAACTAATTGTATAACATTTAAAGAATACCATCACTCTAAAATAAATGTCAGTGAAAGGGGCATGAGTTGGATCATTAATTATTACCTTAAAGTTTTTATTTTATCAGTGTGCACAAAGATTTCATTTTTCTGATTTGGTATACATGGAATATTTACTTAGAATACTCAGTTTCATTCTATTTTAGAAGGTGATAGGATAAAAATGTACTCATGTTGTACCTGGACTTCTCAGTAGGCCATATTTTATTTTGGGTTACAAAACAGAAAAATGAAAGAGAATATAGGCAAGTAGGATTTATTCGTATAAGTGTTTGTGCACATGTACACATGTGGGTGCTATTGCTAAGTCTTAAAAAATTATAATAAATGGTAGGCAGTTTTGTTGTTTATTTGCCTCAGTATTAAAACTGTATCTTTAAACAATAAAAAGTACTATTCTTTGTCTACTTGCCTAATTCATGTTTGTATACATGTTTGTAAATCCATACAAATATGCTTTGATGAATACAATATTGTAGAATTCACAGTAGAAAATTTAAACTTAATTGTGTCTTTAATTTCTTAAGAATCAGATGAGGGATAATGAACTCGTGTATTAGTAAATAAAAACACTCATGTACATTTATATATGCACATTTGTGTGTAAATGTATGTGTGTGTATACATATATACAGAGAGAAAGAGAATGGGAGAGAGGGAGAGAGAGAGAGAGGTACATACAGATGTATTCATAAGAATTTAAGAATATGTTAAAAGAAACTGATCAAAATCACAATAGAAGTTGAAGACAGCACTCACAAAATCTGCAAACTTCTACATGATACCCAGAATAACTTTTTTTAGAAAGGGAAAAATAATTATAGAATATATTGTGTTAATAAATCAGAAAAGGCGCTTGAAATAACCTCATAAAATGTTATAGCTTAAATAATGCCCTTCATCAGTATTCTTTGTTTAACATTTTATGTTTATTGATAAATGAAGATGCATTTAAATAATTCAAAGAAAACATTAGCTGCAAGCAAGGAATTAATAATTGATAGGACTGGAAGGACTCTTTTCACTTGGGAAATAGATAATATTAGCTTCATGTGGGGCCGTAGGAACGGAGGAAATGTAATGGATCTGCTTGCTTTAAACTGATGATGATTATTGTGGTCTAAAAGTTGCTACAAAGGCAAAAGTGGGACAGCTCCGCAAGTGCCATAGATTTCACTCATAGGAGCTGACAGTGCACATTGTGGTCTGATGTGCCAGATTTATACATGGAGGAGACCTAGTGATTATGACACAGACTAAAGAGATGAAAAATAATAATAGATGCAATTTAACTATAATTGGAAAATGATAAGAAAAACCCTTTGAACATACCAAGAGGATAAAAATAAAGAGATTTTACTTTTCTCCTTCCTTGTACTTGAGGACAGAGGCCAGTGAGAACATGGCTACCTTGCTTTTGACAAGAAACACCCCTCATGAGGTTATTGCTATATTCTCACTGCAGTTTAGTCAGCAGCTTCAGCTGCATGTGTGACAAAGCCAACACCTTCAGGGAGTCATGAGGGACGAACACCTCCAGATAGAAGAGACACACACGTTGGCTATTTTGATCTCACCTGTATTTGTCCTTCTCCAAATATTACAGAAAATTAAGTTATGCACATCTGGAAGTTCCAGAGGTCATTAATTTTGTCCTGCTTTCTCAGTCTCCTTCTCCTGTCCCTTCACTCCCCAGGCAAGAGCGTTATTCTTGAGAGTGCCCAGGGAAGGTTCAAACTGCTCCCTGGTAAATGCATCTTTG
This sequence comes from Homo sapiens, assembly GCF_000001405.40. Lineage (NCBI taxonomy): Eukaryota > Metazoa > Chordata > Mammalia > Primates > Hominidae > Homo > Homo sapiens. The sequence goes on from NC_000015.10 coordinate 36,100,274, forward strand.
CCATTGGGAAGGGCTCTATAATTTCTAATCTGGCATAATTTAAATATATGTCTTTAATAGTTATATTTAATTCATCCTGGTCAAAACAAACCTCTAAATACTCATAGCCATTTCATAAATCATCTCTCAAATTTGTCACTTTTGCCTTAGAAACATTAATTTTCAAAACTCTAGAAGTGGATTAGTTTCAGAAAAATTACCTCTTTATGAAAATTTCAGCCATTTGCAAAGTCTACAGATTCTATATCCTACCCTTCTGGGCTGACATGAAATCTTAAATTCTTGTATACATTCCACTCAAAGGAAACAATAATGTATCTCACCATTTCTGTTCTAAACTGTGTTCTTAAATGTTATTAATTTTTTATTGTGGCAAAATAATATAAAACTTACCATCTTCATCATTTTAAGTGTACTGTTCATAATGTTGTACAACCATCACCATCTATCTCCATAACTCTTTTCACCTCATAAAACTAAAACTCTCTACCCATTATACAGTAACTCCCCACTACGCTCACCCCCCAGCCCCTGGCAACCACCATTCGGCTCTCTGTCTCTATGATTTTGACTACTCTAAGTACCTTATATAAGTGGAGTCATATAATATTTGTCTTTTCATGTCTGGCTTATTTCACTAAGCATAATGTCGTAAAGACTTATCCATGTTGTAGCATGTGTCTGCATTTCCTACTTTCTTAAGGTCGAATAATATTCCACTGTATGTCTATAACATATTGTATCACTCTGTTCTCATACTGCTAATAAAGACATACCCAAGACTGGGTAATTTATAAAGAAAAGGGGTTTAATTGGCTCACAGTTCCACAGGGCTGGGGAGGCCTCAGGAAATTTGCAATAATGGCAGAAGGAGAAGCAAACACGTCCTTTTTCACATGGCGGCAGGAAGGAGAAGAATGAGCAAAAGGGGGAAAACCCCTTATAAAACCATCAGATCTTGTGGGAACTCACTATCATGAGAACAGCATGAGGTTCACAACCCGCATGATTAAATTACCTTCCACTGGGTCCTTCCCACATGTGGGGATTATGGAAACTACAATTTAACATGAGATTTGGGTGGGGACACAGCCAAACCATATCACATATTGTGTGTATCCATTCACTCACCGGTGGCTATTTGGGTCATCGTTTCTTTTGGTTAAATATTACAGGTCAAGTCCTTCTGCTCTCACCCCAGCTCTTCACACAAAACTCAGAAGAGCACATACAACAAGAGAGAAAAATAAAAAAGAATCTCTATTTCTCCCAAGTTTCTGTTTCCTGATTTGAAGAAACAAGAACTAAAATGGAGTCAGGATATCAAAGGCCTCCTGAGATGCAGGCAGGGAAAATAAACAGGTGTGGTGCGCTAGGTGAAGGGGGAAACCAAAGTGAAGAAAATGTGACCAACTCTGGTACTTATGAGCTCTAGATCATTGCAGCCATGCAAAAATGTGAATTAGGCATTGCCATAGATTCAATTTTCAAGAGAAACCAGAAATATGGTTCTTATTTTGTGTGTGGCATTTCACAAGCTTTAAATGTCAGACCAAATTCAAAGAAACAAGTTTTGCTCGAATTAATCCATGTTGTGCAGTCCAAATAAATGTGTCTGTATGACCATAGGCCAGGGGAGTGACTCTATCCAGAAACCCTGAGTGCATCCTGAGCTCCCCGCTTGCCCTCCCCACAAATGCATGAACTGACTTCCACTATGAAGTCTCTCATTCACCTAATATCATTTTGATCATTCCTTTTACTTTGGAAGTCACTCTTCACATAGTCACTAGTATTTTGCTATTTAGAGCTTAATGAAATTTTGCGTTTTTAAAGTATTCTTAAAATTAACTTTTTAACTGATCAAGAAAAACGTGGATTATTGTAAAAACTATAGAAATTGCCCATAATTTCACCACCTCAAAGCAATTAGTGTTACTAGTTTAATGTATTGCATTCTCTTCTATTTTCCTATCCATGTAAATTTTATGTTGGATAGTAACTAAAATCATAGTGTATATTTAATTTTGTTGAGATGCTATTTTTAATTTGTTATGAGTTCTCTTGTGCAGACTTAAAGCAGTTTTAGAGAGAGGACTTACTCTTTACATAGCTTTTAAAAATGTTTTTCTCCTAAATTCTGGACCTGATATCTTACTAATTGTCTTTATTGAGGGCAAAGATTGTGTGCTAGTTAACAAAGAGGCAAGTTAAAATTAGTTTAGGTCACGGATGGTATGTTAAGGTCAACCAACTTACAGATGTACAGGAAAATTTCAAGGCCAACTAGTAGATTGCTAGTAATCAGCTACTAACCTCTACTCCGAGTTTTCCAATTTCTTGACAAGATGTTTTTTAATTCATTCATTTATTCATCCACTTATTTCTTCATTTATTTAACTGTATTTTTAATCTTGCTGTTGGTGTTCTGGGCTTTGTGCCACATGCTGGCAATACACAGACAAATGTAACACAAACTCAACCTCCTACCAACTTTTCCTCATAGCAGAAGAGTTAAGTAAATGTATAACTAAATCCCGCAAAAGCACTAGGACGTACTAGAGAGGCTTAAAGATCTGAGTTCCAAAACATGAATAGATAAATAATGCCTAAGTGGCATTATATACATATATATATATAACGTATATGTGTATATATGATATATATATATAGTATGTATGTATATGTAATGTCCACTTATGATGCCTAAGTGGACCACAGCACATTAATAGAACTTCCTCATGACTTCCACTTCTTTCGTTGTCCACTTGGGACATTTGGATGGTTTGTGTGTAACTTATTCTTCCACATGTTATTTTAAGTATATTTATAGCTTATTTTTCACTCTTAATTTCTTGCTTTTTCTCACCTGGGATGATTTTCATTATTTTTTCCTTTGATATATCTTTTCCACTTTGTAAATGCAATTCAATAATCCTCTTTTCTAGCTATTTGTCTTGAAATCTACCACTTACCTCTTGATTACACATTCATTATATCAAGCATTAAAAAGCAGTTACATGTGCCAGTTTATATGACTATGTAAAACTTGTAAAATATCCATAGTGCTCAAAGAAGTGGCATTTTAGGTGAGATGCTGAATAATACTAAGTATGAGGTTGACTCCTTTAGACTCTTAGAATTTCTTTTTTTTTTTTGAAATTTTATGTAGAGGTTTATTTGGACAGACAGTTCTTAATACTAAAATAAGATTAAGTTTAAAAATACTTTGAAATTTTATTATAAAAATAATATAATCCTATCAAAGAAAAGTTAAAAAGAGAAAATAAAAAGCTAACTCTCTAGTTGTACTTTGTCACCAGTTGCTCCAGGCAGATAAAATGAGGCCTGAGGAACAGTGGGATGGGCAGAAAATGCTGCTGGGATGGACAGACTCTGTGGCCTGGCACTGATTAAGCTCTTGATTCTAAATATGTTCCTGTGCTTCCGATGTGGGGAACATCCAAGAGGAAACTATTCCGTAGAGAAAGAAGATCCACTTTTGATGGCCATCATCATCTGGAGAAGGGAGGGCAATTTGGGTCACTGGTGTAAGGGTGTGTGTTAAAAGTTCAGGTACTGGGTCCCATTCTAGAAGATCCCAATGCCCACTTGTCATAGTAAAGCTTCTAGGGTCTAGTAATACAGCAGTCTTAAAACATCACGCTTAAGTGAACTGTTCCCAGACTTATTTAGTAATGGATTTAAGAGAATGTATAATACCCAGTAGCATCCCAAGCACTTGGATTCTATGGAACATACTTTGGGAAATGCTTCAATAAAGCAGTAAGAAGAAAATTCATTCTTTTGAGAAAAAATGTTTGGGGATATTAAGTCAGAGGCTTGGGTTTTTTTTTAAAAAAGATGGTTTTTCAGATGCTGATTTAGGGACCAAGAATAGGACTAAGGAATGCCCCTGCTAGCAAAGCATGATGATGAGGCGAGGCCATGATAGCCCCCTCCTTGGGTGTAGGTCTGCATGCCTGTGTGGCCATGCTTGAATACTTTGTATCTACATGCACGAATACTCTGCATCAACATCCATGTCCTCTCATCACTAAGGATGTCAGTTTTGTGAGGACTGGTCTGCAGCATGTGTGGACAATTATTTTTTGGCATTCGTTTCCCTTTCTTGCTTATTAGTGCACTTATTTTCTTTTGGGAGGAGAAGCAGTATTGAAGAGAACATGGCTGAGAACTTTCTAGAACTGATGAAAACCATGAATCTTCAGCAATATAAAATACAACATATACTAAGCAAGACAAATAAAAATAAATTCAGACACATTGTGGTGAAAGTACAGACCACTGAAAACAATGAGAAGATCTTAAAGGCATTCAAAAAGCAGAAAAACAGATCACCTACAAAGGAATCGCAAGCAGGTTTCTCAACATCAACAATGGAAGCCTGAAGTTAGTAGAATAGTATCAAAGTACTGACAGAAAATGACAGTCAACCTGGAACTATGCCTGGTAATATTATCTTTCAGATAAACAAAACTAAGAGTGTACTGCCAAGAGAACTACAGCAAGGAACTTCTAAAAAATATACATCAGGTCTCAAATGATCTTCCTTTTAATCAAGACATGCATTCTCAATGAGGTGATGTCACTCCATAAAGAGAGAAAATCTATTCTTGGTAGGCAAAATAATCTTACTCTTTTTATGTATAAAGCATAGATGTACTTAAACAGACACACAGTGACCCTGTGATATTAAAATTGATTGATTCGGGTGAGGGGGCAATTAGGAAAAAAATAATCTAAAAGTTTCCTTGGAGGTGGGGCAATAATAAAAAAGCTGAGAAACACTGATCCAAAACAATCCACAAAAATTTAGAATTAAAAGAGTTTACTCAAGTGCCTAATTTAAGATCAATATATAAAAATCAATTGTATCTCAATATGCTAGCAGAAAAACTTAGAAAATATACTTTAGAAAGATAAAGTTCATAATAGAAACAAAAATATAAAGTATCTGGGAATAAATCTAACTATATATAAACTTTATAAATAAATATATACAACTTTATTAAAAGTTTTAAGGTAACTCAGAAAAAAATGGAGAGATACCTTATGTTTGTATTTAAGAAAGCTCAAAATCTTAACAATGTTAATTATCCCCAAAATGTTCTATGACTTCATTGCAAATTCCAATCAAGAGTTATAAAGAAACCTGGCCAGCTGATTCTAAAATGTATATTAAAGGACAAAGTGTACCAAGACATGCCTAAAAGAATAAATTTGGGGAAATTGTCTTATCATATCTCATGGCTTCTCATAGACTACTGTACTGAAGATAGGGCAGCATTGGCACAGGAATCAAAAAACTGATTAATGGAATAGAAACCCCAGAAACAGCCGCTGCATATGTGCGGGAACTGTTCTACCCCAACATCGCCAGCAAGAGTGTCCTTGCTTCTCATTGGTTCTCCTGGACCAATCACTGTGGCCTGCAGCACTGGGCATCTGATGCCTTAGGTATCACAGCACCACCCAAGGGCTAGAGACGGGTCAGTTTCAATTAAACCACAAGGACTGAGACTCTTAGAATTTCTAAACCAGTCTTGAGTGTACTATAAAAGACAGAATCAAACGCCCAATTTATGCAGTTAGATAACATATTTAGCTTTTCAGCCTAGTTAAGTATTTTAGCTGGTACTGATTGAAGAGAGGACTGCATCTGTTCCAGCAGGGAGCAGACACACGTGAGAGTTTGATAAAAGCTTCTTGCTGTAGAATTGTCCCACTATCAATTATCCAATAAAATAGGATATCAAATGTCATCTGTAGATATAAATTTGCGAAGCCTAAAAATTCAAGGCAACCATTTATTTATGAAGCAGGCATAGCATTTTGTAAGAACAACAGTTACAATATGTTATAAGAGCCTCTATCGATATGTAAGAAATTAGAAATTAAAATAGCTTATGTTAAAGTGTTGTGAATGAAGGATAATAAATACAAAGCCCCTATCTTTCTTTCATCTTCCAACTTACTAATTGAAAAAGACACAAATAGTGAAACAATTGGAAAACAATACAGGACAAGAAAAAAAAATCACATCATTAATGTCCATTACATATTTCTACTCATTTAACTTCTCTGTTCCAGAAAAATTTTATGCATAAAATAAAACAAAACCTTTTGTTCTAGCTTGGCCACAGTAAACAACTGAGTGTGATCAAGTTGTGAGAACAGTCTAACCTCAGCTCATGATTCCCAGAAGCTTCCAAACTGATTGAAAGTGGCCTGTTCAACATTTAATGAAATTCACATTTCTGAGACTCATTAGTTTGGATCTCTGGCTTTGCCTGATGGGTTAAATCAGAACATTTTATGTTAGTTAACTATTGCTGGCAAAGAGGAGAGAAAGAGGTAGGATAATACACTAAACTAAACAGCAGAATTCAAAGTGATTTCAGGAGTAACGGATCAATGGGAACCCAGTGAACCAAACCTGGATTTGAATCTCCTACAGACCTAAAGATTCCCCATGCTGCACATAACCGAGGCTGGGCTGGGGTTAACAGTAGTCTCCTTGGCTTGAACCTCCACATCACTAACATTCTTTCCACAGTTGTTCATCACCACTTCTATGTCCTTCTATAGATATGTTCCTAATGTTGGACTTTAGGAACTGCAGTGGCAGACAGCAACTTTTATTTTCCCCAGCCACCATAGCCCCACTCAATATGACATTTAGACAGATGAGCCAGCAATACAGTAGTTACATGTGTCTGGGATTTGTTTTTTAAATTATATGTACCGCTTTTAATAGCCTGATTACAGCTGTTCAGTAAGTGATGCCTCTAGACTGAAGAGGACCGAAATGAGAAGCAGGCCAGCTAAGAGGGCTGGGAGCAGCACGTTCCCCTTGTTATTGCCAGCTAGTGGGGAGAGAACATATGGCCACTTTACAAAGGTGAGTTACCAGCAAACAAGCAGGAATCCCAGCCAAATAGCTCCTAGCCTGATTTCTTCGTTTACATTCATTTATGTTATCCTCTGTCAATTTTTCTTCTCTCTTATGTTGGATTACCTTTTTTAAAAAAAAAAGAATTGGGGCTGAGAATATATAAAGAGAAACTTTTGCAAGCAGGAAAATAACTTAGGAAAGAAATTATCAGGGTGACACACTACCTGCAACTTATAAATAATGAAGAACTGGTTGGTGCAATTAAAGAATGTTATATTTGACACTAGAACAGGCAGAACTTATCTGAAATTTTCGTTCTAATGCTTGGTAGCTAAGGGGTCTTGTACAGGTCATGGAACCTCACTTTGTCTAAGAATCTCTAGCTACAAAAGGAGCAAGGGCCATGTTCAAGTTTGCCGTAGGAATTAAGTAAAATAGCGGATGTAGCCAGGTCAGCATTATACCTACAGATGGCATGTAGTAGGTACTCAAGGAATTACTATTATTGTTATTAATCTTCCAATGGCATTATTTTGCTTTCCTAGAAATAACATAGAACCAGGGAGAATTTTGATTGAAGCTAAGAGGCCGAAAATGGCCGCAAATTATAGTTTTCTCATGTCTAAAATTGGGATATCTGTGAGGATTACACAAAATAATCTATGCAAAAAAAAAAACCCAGTAAAATTCCTGTTTCAAAGAGGTATTCAGCAAACAGATACAAATATTGCAACAAGATTCTGCAAAGTAAGTTTTACTATGTGTGAATGCATGATGTAGAAAGGGAAAAGGAATTTTGAGTAAAATCATAATGTGGAGAACCTTGCTAAGAAGAATTTAACTGTATTTTCTTCATTTCCTCTAATCATTTTCAAGAAAAGGAAAAGATAAATATTGTATCTAGTATCTTCCCTTGTTATTTAGGATTCTGGCTTCCTTTTAGATTTTAAAAAAAACCTCATAGGCAAAATAATAAAAAATAAAAATATTGTATTTATTATATCATTCAGGATTGCTTCCAAGTACACACATGCACACACATACACAAGGTTGCTGCCAAGTACACACACCACATGCACACACATTACAAGGTAAAATATAAAAAGCGGTGAAGAAGTCAGAGTAAAAGAAAAATTAGAGTAGAAAAAATATGACATGACCAAAAGTGAAATTAACTGATGAAATGCACTCTGTAAAGTTTTGTAAACTGGCTAGAGGGAGGCCATGGGTTTCATACTAGGCTTGCATTATAATGAAGTCAGCTAGATTTTTAACTATTCGGAGTGATTCTTGCCTCTTGCATGCTTGCTATCCCTAGAGTTTGAGTTTATACTGGAAGCACTAAAACAAATATCAGTATCTTTCCAATACAGGACACAATCTACAGAATTTCTGTTCATTTGGTTGAAATCTTCATGGTGCTTAGTTAAAACTATTCTGCATCCATTAGAAAAGTGAGGCTGAAATGCATATTCAGATGATGATCATAGTCAGAATGGGAGACACAGGGGACCAGCTGAGCATGGCTGGCTAGAGACAATACCCCATCTGCCGCTCTGCTCCAGCCAGTCTCAGGAGCCCTAGGGGAGCCTGGGCTGGTGTGGCCAGCGTTTATTCATCAATCTCTTTATTTCTGGGGATTACTCAATTGAGCTTCTCAGATCTGCTTCTTTTACTGGGGAATGGGTGTAATAAAAGTATATATGTAAGTAGATACATGAGATGATGACAAACATCCCAAACAGAAGAACAAACTGGTAGCTCTGCATAAAAAAGAGATGCTAGATAAAAACAGTTTTCAAGGATGCTCCCTTATTTGACAAAATTACCATTGAGACTGCTATGAAGAGCATGCGTTCGTAGACAGCTTTTAAGTTTTAAAATGCTTTCATTTATGGGGATTACCAAATTTTTCCAGTTAAGAATCACAAACAGCAGACAAGAATGAATGATTAATGCTGGAGTTCCTGGAGTATGGGCCAAAGAAGTTCCCCCAAAGTAAGATTTTTTTTTGAAATTTTACATTTTATCTTAATGATTCACACAAAATCCATGATATAACTATCTTTATTTTAATAAAAAAGCCTAATTCAAAACTGTTTCGACTATCTTACAAAATCTTATAGTAAAATTGATGCTCTAGGAAGATGCAATGTTGGTATCCCATGGTTTCAAGGACCTTGCAACCAGGAGTATGTGTACTTCATTGGAGGGGCAGGGAGCTACACATATTCCTCCAAATCTCATTATAGCCTTTAAGTGGAAGATGAATAACGAATATTCTTGTTCTCATTTAGCAGATACAGAAAATTAAGCTCAAAGAAATAAAATGCCTAATTCCCACTTCTAGTTAGTGAGGTCCTTGGGACTAAAATCAGCTCCATTTAACTTCCTGGCTTTGCCCCATTTGGAATCTCCAAATTCAGCTTCTATGAATCTTCAGTTCAGACTTTGTGTGAATGTTTTTAGAACTTTAGGTCATCTTCCAAATTTTGGAGATGAAAAATGCATCTAAAGAATCTCAAGATGTGAGATAGTTTTGCTGATGCTGATTACGTTTTACATTGTTTTATTTGTTTCTGATTGAGGGTAACCAACCTATTGCATGTCATGAATTTGATGTGCTAAGTTCTGCCTCACCATATATTTGCTCTCTGATGATTATGTTCACAAGCATCTATGCAAAGGAATAACCTTCTTTCTCTTTCATGTTGCAGTGACTGTGTTATAGATGGTTGACAATAGGGGATGAAAATTGCCCCTACTCTTTGAGATGACTGGTATTGAATGGAGCAGTCTTTGAAAGGCACCAACCCTTCCTAACTGATGGTGGTCTCTTGAAAGAGGCTCTTCCAAATTTGTCTTCTGAAAGTGTTGTGGTTGGGGACAGTTCATAACCCTTTCTAATAGAGAGGATGGATTAGTTTTGACTCACTCTGTGTAAGAAGCTTGGTTGTGGTCCAGCTGGCAAGGTCATAAAGCAAAGTAATTACTTGAAAGTAAAAGGAAAAGATAAATATTGTATCTAGTATCCTCCCTTGTTATTTAGGATTCTGGCTTTCTCTTGGATTAAAAAAAAAAAAAAACAACTCATCTTTTTAGGGTCAAGAAAAAATTTCCATGGTATCCCAATGGAAAAATCCCACTTAACAGTGATTGTGGTATTAATAGTGGTATTCTTTATTTTCTTTGGAACGCCTTTATCTGAATCATATTAATTAACTTAGTGCCAGAGTCCCAGAATCCACAAGGAATAGTATGTAAGACAAGTTAAAACATGTAACTATGCAAAATGTGAAGCACAGTTCATTTCTTAAGACAACTGCTATTTAAATCATATGATATATCACCTCTATATCTTCTATGGTGATGAACGGCTAGAGAATATGTCACTGGCAAATAAATGTACATAAGTAGAATAAGTATACAAAAGATTGAGTTGACATTGTAGTATGCAATATTTTTATGGTTTTCAAAGGAGCAGAAGGGCAAAAGAATAGCTCAAATCTAAAAACACATTAGTTACATGACCTAATTCTTTTTGTAAATGTTCTGAGATTAGGGACTAAATAAAAATTTATAACTGTCAGAAGTGAGCCAAAAGGTTTCATGACTTGTTTAAAACACTCATCATAGGTTTATCTAACAAATAATGTTATAATAGGCTTCGTCATACACTGCTGAGAAGTTTAGAATTTGGTGAAACTAAGAGAAGTTAGAAAAATGTAGGGCACTAATGCTAAAATGCTTTTAATGTATCAATTTTCCTCTCAATGATTAATCTTCTCCTAGTTTTTTAGGATTAAAAATTAAGAGTCATCTTCATATGTGAAATAACTCATCCAAACTATATAGTTCCAACAAAAATGCTTCCTAGAAAAACAGACCTCTAGGAAAATACACATCTCCATTTTTAAATTGCTCTTAGTAATTCACTGTAATTCAGCCTATGAAAACCTTTTCAGTGGTGGGCTCTACTTAGCAGGCACAAAGCTGGAGAAGGACACCACTTCACCCACAGGTGTTAGGCAAAGGGATTGATTGCTGGGTCAGAGCTACTCAAAGTAGGATTTTAGAGGGCATAAACCTGTATGTATTTGACCGTTTAACAACATGGCAGTTAGCTATACTTCTGCATAGAACTTAGAATCTGGGATATAAATATATATTTTCTATACAGTTCTACACCTTTGCTACTCAGTTTTAAAAGTTTGTGATCTTTCAGAAATCAAGCAAGGACGGTCCCTGACTTAGGATGGTACAACTTATGATTTTTCACCTCCATGATGGTGCAGAAATGATGTGCGTCCAGTAGAAATCTACTTTGAGTACCCACACAACCATTCCGTTTTTTTTACTTTCAGTACAATATTCAATAAATTACACGAGATAGTCAACATATTATTATAAAATAGGATTGGTATTAGATAATTTTGCCCCACTGTAGGCTAATGAAAGTCTTCTGAGCGCATTTAACATAATCTAGGCTGAGCTATGATGTTTAGCAGGTTAGGAGTATTAAGTGCATTTTGATATATGGTATTTTCAACTTAGGATGGGTTTATTAGGATGTAACCCCATCATAAGTCAAGGATCATCTGTATATGTCCCACAGTTAACATACCTTCCAGTACAATAATACTATAGGAAGAGCATGCTGGGGATTATATGGAAACTATTTGGCAATGGACACAGCATAGGCAGTGACCAATGATGAAAAATGCCTTTTGCGGTTCAAGTCCAGGCAGCCCTTTGCTGGTCCAAGCTTCAGTCCTTTAGTTTCTGGATTTTCTCATGGGAGACATGCTGGTCTTAAACAGTAAAGGCTGTGAGGGTTTCAGGCAAGGCAGTGGCTAATTTTTGAGTATACAATAATATTTCAATATTTTAACTTCTAGTACAGTTGTATCACTTCACGCCATGGAATATTACCCGTGGTATTATGTAGTAATATCACTGAGAGGTTAATTTGGTTTCTGTGGCTGCTGTTGGAATCTAATTTTAAGTTTTCCTGGAGAAAAGAATTCTGAGTTCTTTTTCCTATTTATAACTTTTATTTTACTATTACAAATCAGTTTGAAACACAAACTGATTTTTACTTTGGACACCATCTGTGATATGATATTATACTGCCACCTGTGATTTATGCAAGAGGTGCATTTCTTCCTCTAACCTGAGGCAATAGAAAGGAAATACATTTTGGTTAATAATAATAATCTTTCTCAAGCTCTTCACCTAGCTAAATAATAACTGTCTACATAGCTTCTTAGACATGACTTCTCTACTTCACAAGCTTTAAAAATGAAGCATACATCTAGCTATTTAAGGTTTTCAAATTCCAGAGTCCACTCTAGCTTATGAGATTCTACTTAAATAAATAAGGCAAATATGCGGCTATGGTAGGAAAGGTCTGACCAAATGCAGAAGATGATCGGCAAAAGGTCTTGCAAGATTCTCCTACCTTTATTCAGGACCACATGTCTAACATTTAGCAATTGGCATTGCCTAGACCTGAACTGTCCAACACAATAGCCACTAGCCACATGTAGGGATTTAAATTCAAAGGCATACTTGATAAGATTAAGCAAAATTAAAAGTATAGTTCCTCAGTCACATATTTCAAGTGCTCACTTAGCAACCTATGGCAGGTGGCTAACATATCGGACAGCAGGGTAAAAGTTCTATTTTATTACAGACAGTCCTATTGGACACTCCTGGTCCAGAGGTTCATTACATCTCATTTTTATTTCTCTTAATAAAGATAAAAATATCTCATCTTTTCCTATCTCCAGAGGAGTGAGAAACAGGTTGGCGTATCATTTCAAAGTTATGTTTAGGTTTCTAAAAATGGTTATTGTCATGTTTTTCACTTGTGTGCTTTTTCTTCTTCTTTTTTTTTTTTTCTCCCCTGGTTGAGATGAAGTCTTGCTCTGTTGCCCAGGCTGGAGTGCAGTGACACGATCTCGGCTCACTGCAACCTCTGCCTCCTGGGTTCAAGCAATTCTCCTGCCTCAGCCTCCTGAGTAGCTGGGACTACAGGCGCCTGCCACCACACCCAGCTACTTTTTTTATTATTATTTTTAGTAGAAACGGGGTTTCACCATGTTGGCCAGGCTGGTCTCGAACTCCTGACCTCAAGTGATCTGCCCGCCCCTGCCTCTGTAACATGGATTTAATATTGAATATGTCATAATGTGGCTCTAAAAATTCATTTAGATACATTTCTATTAAAAATCTTAAGACATTGACTTTTTAATCACTCTCCTCGCTCCCTCCCCACCCCCAAATTAAGATTTGTCTTTATTCTTCTTAATTCTTTTTATTCTGGATAAAAACTAATATTCAGATAATTTTCTTATGTTGCCTAAATGTAGACTCACCTAGAACAAGGGATAGGCTTTTAAACTAAATTCAAGTTTTCCTCCACGGCATTCAGGAAAACTGGTTTGCAGGGGAAGACACCTGCAACATTCTCCTAGACAATACCTGAATGCTGAATAATTTGTTCTTGCCTCAGTGACCCTTGACTACACCACTCTGATGAAAAATAGGGAGAAAACTTTCACCCACTGTTTGAGCTACATGAGGCCCTGCTCAGGTGAGATCAGATGCTTCCTTGGATTGACTGATTCTTTTGGCATCATCTATTGATCTGTGAAGGAATGCTATTTGAACACCAGCCATATCTTAATTCTCCTATTGGGATCACCAGACAACACAAGTAGAACAGAGTCCTCCTTTTGCAATGATTTTATCAGCGCCCTCCGGTTCTATCACCTGCCATGAAAGGCGGTGCCTCTTAAGAAAAATTTCCAGGGTGTAAATTTAATCCATGTGAGTTTAGACTCTGGCAGACAGAACTGTAGATTAGGGTATGTCTTTAGAGTTTTGCCCTTGGCTGCGATAGGAATTTGCTGGAACTGGGCTGGGGATGTTGTTGAAAGGATGTTTTCTCCCAACTGGCTGACATTCAGTGTGCCTGCATGGTATTGATACAGTATTGGCATTGACAATGTCACTTCTAGCAGTCTCATTTTTTAGATGTTGATATTAAGGGTGCAAATTTTGTTTGTTTTTGCAGTGTTAGAGGAAAAGAATAAAAATTTCTTGATGCTTACAGTATACAGGATTTGGTATGCCAGGACAAATTCCTTAAGCTAATTTCCCCTTGAACATTTTGGAGTACTAATTTAAAAAATGGGTGTTGTAGATTTTTGTTGTTTGCATTAAGTTATATTTAAAATAAATATGCAAAGGTAAGAGAGAAATTGTATCAAGTGTACTGACTCAATTTCTGGAATGTAACTAGTCCAGATAATCCAGGCATTTTAATTCTATTGTGCTTTGTGAGTTTAAATTAAAAAAAATTATCATCTTCAAAGCTTTTTTGAATTCCCAGAAAATCTTTATTTTAGTCCTTCAGTTTTCTTTTTGAGCCAAGGATCATAGCCTCCCCTTACTGTTCCTGAAATATATCCATCAAGTCGTTTTTAGTATAATTGTGTTTACAGACAATGGTGAAGACAACTATTTAATCATATTTTCTCATGTTTTAAAAAGCAGATAAATTTAGCTTGTTAGACTCAAAAGGATAAACCACTGCCAACACATACATGTCCACAAATCAAATGCCCAATTCTGATGATCTCTCCTGCTGAAATTCTCACTTATAAATCTGTTTTCTATTCTTGCACTATCTTTTTCCTGGACCATTATGATAATCTTGTAAGAATTCTCTCTATGTTCCTATATTCATTTGTCTATGAAATTCATCTGCCTAAAATATAATTCTAATTATATTGCAACAGAGGTCCCTGACTGAAAGTTTAAATGGTTAAGTATTGTGCAAATCTCTTAGTCTGGAGGTCAGATTCAAAGCTCCCCATGGTCTGTCCTCAAATAGCTTTTCTTGTCTTAGCTCTCCCTGCTCCTTGAGGGTAGGCCTGCATTTTATCCAGCCTTAATTCACGAGTGCCACATAACATTGCCTGGCACAGAGGTGGTGCTCAAGAAAACATGTTGAAATTTCATGTGCTACCTATAGCTATTGATTGAAAAAGATCCCAACAGCCTCCCCTCCCATTCTCATATCTTTGCTTACATTGCCCTCCATACCTAAAATGACATCTTTTCCTCCATCTCCTCTTTCCATCTTACAACTCACTCTTTTAAGACACATTTTAAATGTTTTCTTTTCCAGAAATCTTCTCTGATATTAAAACTGAATATGCTCTCTCCTCAGAATCTGATATCCTTTTTAGAACACTTATTGCACATACCACATTCTGCATTATGTTATAGCTACTTGTCGATGTGTCTTAATTACCCTACTAGATTCTAAGTATTTTGGGGACTAGAAATTGTGTTATAATCATTTTCTGCCTTATCCACAGTGTCTAATATAATATTATTAATCAGGCAGTAAGCAAACTCTGTCCCATTTTGAGCACAAATTGTGTAAGTCATTTATTATGTAATAGATAACCTAAAAACATCAAAAGAAACCATATCTTGCACACATAGATAGTGTCTTTCAAACTTTTATGCCCACATCACAATATTTCTGGTTTAATAATACCTTAAATCAAGCCATTTATAAAGATATTAAATACATACAAATTAGCTTAGATGAACCAAAATGACAAATTGTTTTTCATATAAAAATTGATCAAATTCAACCTAAGAAAATAATCTATACCCAATTAATTCCTGATAATGTAGGTAGAAATTTCATTTAATCATTAATTGTTCCTTGCTGGGAAATGATGTTTTTCCTCCAGTTACTCAGAGTCAGGCTCTCTCCACCTCCGTGTCCTTTCTAGGGGTTACATTCTTGACCTCCCTGACTAGTGGTGGGTCTTTCCTATGCCCTCGGGGTTTACTTATCAGCCAACTGATGTTCTGCATGGACTTTTTGTTCTTAACTTTATAACATGTGAATTTGTAGCTTCTCTTTGTCACAGGTTTTGGCTATTTCTCTTCACAATGAACAACTCATGGATTAACAACTTTACTTTTGAGAAGAGTTAAATTCCAGACATTCTATTTGGAGGGAAGGCAATTCCAGAGAATAAACTCTCCTTCCTCTATTGTATTAACCCGTCTTCCACTTAATACCAGATATACAAAGTGATGAGTAACTATGTAACACACTGCCCTTATAGTTGAGAACTCAGGGGCTGTAGTCAGGTGGCACTGGATTCAAATGCTGATTCTGCCACATACTGGCCGAAGGACTTTGGTCACATTACTTAACTTCTCAGAGCTTTACAGGTGGGAACAAGAGTACCTGAGTTCATGTATGTAAAACACTTAACTCCATACCTGGCAGGGAGTAGACATTCAATAAATGGTAGTTATTTGCTATTATATGTATAAAGTTGGGTTTGCAGCAAGGTGGAAAGAACATTCCAGATCAGGAACCAAAAGCTACAGAGATTAAAGGGACCAGAATGCAAATAAGGATGAACAGAGTCTAGTCAACCTGAACTTTGCCTCCCAGGGGACTATCGGCAATGTCTAGAGACATTTTTTGGTTGTCACAAGAGAGAGAGTGCCACTGGCCTCTGTTGGGTAGAAGGCAGATTCTGCTAAACATTCTGCAATGCACAAGACAGCCCCCGACAACAAAAAATGACTCAAAGTGTCAATAGTACCAACACTGAGAAACTCTGAATTAGATGGATTTTCAAGGAATATACAGTTGGTTATGTCTTATACTTCTTTGTACACTCAAAGATTTATACAAAGTAAATATGTATTCATTAATTATTGATTTATTGATATGGAAAAATTAGATCAGCATAAGATGTATTTTCCCTCAAGATTTTTCCAGGGTATGTATGCATTGGCAGCATTTACTCTGCTTCTGGTTCTGGAAATTGGCAATTTTGAAAAAAAAAGACCATGTCAGTAGCCCTTTTTCTCCCTTAAGTGCAAAACCAAATTGTTACTCTAATTTATTCAACAGATTTACATGAAAAAAAATCTTAATTTTAGGGATCTTACAAAGAATGCCATGATCTTAATTCCATTGATGAAAAGCAAAAAAAAAAAAAAAAAAAAAAAAAAAAAAAAAGATTCAGAATGTCAGTTTGCCCTTAAGTGATGTATTAGCTACAAGAAATCTCATTACAATTTGATGCCTGAATCCCTTGAAGGAAAGATCTTATATTGTGAAGGTAGCATATGTGTCATGTGATGTAAGTACTTACTTTTATTGAATAGGTAAGTATATAATAGCTAAAAGCCCCATAAATCAGCTAAATGTTCTCTCAATTTACAGAGAATATTTGATCAGTGAACATTGCTGTCTAGTGAACGACGGGGAGGAAAAGGAGACACGAAATGCAATAGAGATGGATATGATGACTAATTCCTTTCGATTCAGAGTATCATATTTCAAGTCACAGATGGACAACCTGCACTGTACTGTCCATAGACTGCCCAGGCAATTTTAAAAATTTAAGACTTGCATGTTAGATGTGGTGAATGGGGAGTTACATGCATATAGCCAAATCACTCCAGAGGGACATCCAAAAATAACGGGAGAGGATAGATGCTGCGTAGATATATTCAAGGAAGTCATATTTCATTGGACTTTTTATTTAAGCAAATTGAATGGTGATGAAAGAAAAAAGCAACTATATGGTCAATATCTGTCAGAGAGCCTTGTTCATCAGCAAGGCAAGGAAATACTCTGTCTGGTAGCTAGGAATGAAGGATAAATTTAAATGGCCCAGAAGGTAACCTGATATTTGCCTAGAGGTCAGAAGCATGACTGGGATTATTTTCCTTTTTTTCATAGAAAAAGGAAGGCAGCAATTTCTTCCCAACCATGGACATTCTTCAGTCCCTTTCTCTGCATCTTTTTACTTTCTAACATTGACAGGTTCTCATGCATTGAAATGTTCATCCTTTGACCTTATTTCCTTTAATAATTAGCACCTTACTTCTTTTCTATTTTCTGCTGCCAAATACTTGAATGAGAAATCTAAAGCTACTGCCTTCATTTTCTCATCAACCTCCTAACCCCTCTGCAATCTGGCTTTTATCCCCACACGGATACAACTTTCTTAGGCACAAGAGATCTTTTTTGGGGCAGCAGAAGTGTGCATTGTGGATAAAAACCTTGCACCTGGCATGAGATTTTAATTTAAATCCTTGCTTTTTTGCTTACTAGGATGTTACTTAAACATACCATGCCTCAGTTTCCTCACCTGAGTGGGACTAACAATGGGACCAACCTCATAGGTTGGTATCAAGATTAACAGACAAATTGTGTGTAAATTCCATATCATGCTGTATTAGTCAGGGTTCTCCAGAGAAACAGAACCAATAGGATGTGTGCATGTGTGTGTGTTTGCATGTGGATTTGTGTGGGGCAAGGGGAGAGAAAGTAAGGAATTGGCTCAAATGATTATGGAGGCTGGCAAGTCCCAAAGTGAGACAGCAAGCTGGAAACCCAGGAGGGCTGATGGTGTAGTTATAGTCTGCAGGAAAGTAGGCTTGAGTCCTCGAAAAAGCTGATGTTTCAGTTTGAGACCAAAGGCAGGAACTAGGGGAAGGGCAGCCTTTTAGTTCTATTCAGGTCTTTAACCCATTGGATAAAACCCACCCTCTTGAAGTCAAATTGTCCCTGTTTGCAGACGACATGATTGTATATCTAGAAAACCCCATTGTCTCAGCCCAAAATCTCCTTAAGCTGATAAGCAACTTCAGCAAAGTCTCAGGATACAAAATCAATGTACAAAAATCACAAGCATTCTTATACACCAACAACAGACAGAGAGCCAAATCATGAGTGAACTCCCATTCACAATTGCTTCAAACAGAATAAAATACCTAGGAATCCAACTTACAAGGGATATGAAGGACCTCTTCAAGGAGAACTACAAACCACTGCTCAAGGAAATAAAAGAGGATACAAACAAATGGAAGAACATTCCATGCTCATGGGTAGGAAGAATCAATATCATGAAAATGGCCATACTGCCCAAGGTAATTTACAGATTCAATGCCATCCCCATCAAGCTACCAATGACTTTCTTCACAGAATTGGAAAAAACTACTTTAAAGTTCATATGGAACCAAAAAAGAGCCTGCATCGCCAAGTCAATCCTAAGCCAAAAGAACAAAGCTGGAGGCATCACACTACCTGACTTCAAACTATACTACAAGGCTACAGTAACCAAAACAGCATGCTACTGGTACCAAAACAGAGATATAGATCAATGGAACAGAACAGAGCCCTCAGAAATAACACCGCATATCTACACCTATCTGATCTTTGACAAACCTGAGAAAAACAAGCAATGGGGAAAGGATTCCCTATTTAATAAATGGTGTGGGAAAACTGGCTAGCCATATGTAGAAAGCTGAAACTGGATCCCTTCCTTACACCTTATACAAAAATCAATTCAAGATGGATTAAAGACTTAAACGTTAGACCTAACACCATAAAAACCCTAGAAGAAAACCTAGGCATTACCATTCAGGACATAGGCATGGGCAAGGACTTCATGTCTAAAACACCAAAAGCCAACAAAAGACAAAATTGACAAATGGGATCTAATTAAACTAAAGAGCTTCTGCACAGCAAAAGAAACTACCATCAGAGTGAACAGGCAACCTACAAAATGGGAGAAAATTTTTGCAACCTACTCATCTGACAAAGGGCTAATATCCAGAATCTATAATGAACTCAAACAAATTTACAAGAAAAAAACAAAAAACCCCATCAAAAAGTGGGCGAAGGACATGAACAGACACTTCTCAAAAGAAGACATTTATACAGCCAAAAAACACATGAAAAAATGCTCATCATCACCGGCCATCAGAGAAATGCAAATCAAAACCACAATGAGATACCATCTCACACCAGTTAGAATGGCCATCATTAAAAAGTCAGGAAACAACAGGTGCTGGAGAGGATGTGGAGAAATAGGAACACTTTTACACTGTTGGTGGGACTGTAAACTAGTTCAACCATTGTGGAAGTCAGTGTGGCGATTCCTCAGGGATCTAGAACTGGAAATACCATTTGACCCAGCCATCCCATTCCTGGGTATATACCCAAAGAACTATAAATCATGCTGCTATAAAGACACAGGCACACGTATGTTTATTGCGGCATTATTCACAATAGCAAAGACTTGGAACCAACCCAAATGTCCAACAATGATAGACTGGATTAAGAAAATGTGGCACATATACACCATGGAATACTATGCAGCCATAAAAAATGATGAGTTCATGTCCTTTGTAGGGACATGGATGAAACTGGAAATCATCATTCTCAGTAAACTATCGCAAGAACAAAAAACCAAACACCGCATATTCTCACTCATAGGTGGGAATTGAACAATGAGATCACGTGGACACAGGAAGGGGAATATCACACTCTGGGGACTGTTGTGGGGTGGGGGGAGGGGGGAGGGATAGCATCGGGAGATATACCTAATGCTAGATGACGAGTTAGTGGGTGCAGCGCACCAGCATGGCACATGTATACATATGTAACTAACCTGCACAATGTGCACATGTACCCTAAAACTTAAAGTATAATAAAAAAAAAAAAAACCCACCCTCTTTAGGGTGAGCAATCTGCTTTGCTCTGTCTATAGATTCAAATGTTAATCTCATCCAAAAATACTCTCACAGACACACCCAGAATAATGTTTGATCAAATGTCTGAGCATCTGTGGCCCAGACAAGCTGATACATAAAAATCACAGTAGGTGTTCAATACTTAGTAAATGTTCAGTAAATATTCAATATTACCCAGAGGCCTTAAACTGATGTTTCATTAGCTAAACCCATCTTCCAGAAGTACTTGCTTAGACAGCAATGTTTTGCTTTTTATTACTTTTAAAATTGTGAATTGAGTGCTTGTAAATAGGGAGGCACTCACCAGTGGGCCTTCGGCAAGATCACTCCTGATAGCTCTGTATCAGGCTGCCTGTCACTTCTACGTCGCATGCTTCTTTGAGCACTTCAGTTTACAATTCCAACTAACTCTACCCAAAGGCAGTTGTCTTTTCTTATTCTTCATCTTATAGACCACTCTGAAAAACTGAATAGTACAGAAAATTCTCCTAGTTCTCCTAATTACCCAAACACTTCTTTCTCTTGCTCTAGTTTTTTTTTTTTTTTTGACTTCCTGACCCCAACTATACTTTGGAATTTATCCTTTGTCATCTCCTAACTCATTTAGGCTTTCAGCTGATGTACTTACCCTCAAGCAGTTTATGATCTAATTAGGACGACAAAACCACTATGTGAAGCAAAAACACAAATCTAATGCAAAATCTCCAGCAACTCTCATAGCCTTTCACATAACAAAATCTAGTAAAGGTTTGATGGATGGGTGGATGTTTTGATGAATGAATAAAATAATAAATGAGTGAATAATTACAGAGAAGGAGCCAAATTAGGACTAGAAAAATCAGAGAAGATTGTAGGAAAGTGCATGAAAGATTTACATTAGTCTTGAAGAGAGCATAGAATAGAGCAGCAAGTTGAAGAGGAGAAAACCTTCCAGGCAAAGGCAACAGAGTAAATTTAGACTTGGAAATAAAAATAAGATGTTGTTTTTGATGCTCTCCCATATACAGTTTTCTTATCTGTACAATGAGCTTGATAACAGAAACACTTTATATGATTGCAAAATTTGAGTAGTTAATATTTTAAAGTGTTTCTTCCAAAGAATAAGCATTCAATAAATGTTCAATTATAATGATCACATTTATAGAAAATAGTACATAAAATATCTATTTACAAGAAAACATGCCAAGCAGCTATTCACTAATATTAAAGTGTACATTGTTTTATTATTTACTATGCTGAGGAGTATTTGAAAAGTGCTAAACCATTTTCGGAAACAAGAGGATACTTAAAAATACCATGTTCTTACCTGTTGCTGCTTACCTTTAATAATTTAGAGTATATATTATCTAAAACTGCTGCCCTTGTAGTAACCTATAGTATGATAAATTTGGGTATTAGCTGCTTCTGAACTTTTGAACCTGTTGTGGGATTGAATCTACAACCAATACAGAAATGTTTCTTGTCATTTTATAATTCATGAAGTTAAATACCTTCTGCTTGCTATGATTATTGAGGGAAAAGGTATTGAACTGGTAGGCCTGAACTCCAAATGGATCTTCCACATACCGAGAAAATGTTGATTTGTGAAAGCTCTGTTGTACATCTCCTTGGGTTTATCACCTGGTAAGATTTATACTGTGGCAAAAATTGCAACGCAGCCCAGGTCTGCCCTGTCATTCTGAGGCCTCAGCTGTTTGCTGGGGCCAAGTTTTCTCCTCTTTTTTTCCCCAGATATGTCTTAATTGATGTAACACATTCACATCCAAATCTTTAAAAATTACATTTCCTCAATTCATTTTTTTTAAGTGCTAAAACTTTCTAAAATCTCATTTAGCCTTAATTTATCCATTGGACACATGCTCTTTTAACAGGCCTGGTGCTAAGTGGTAGAAACATAAACACAACCATAACAAGACCCCTCATTTCAAGGATACACTTTTTCGTGTCGTGGAGACAGAGAGATAAATTATACGACATGGTGAAATGCTAGGGCACAGATGCTGGAATCACTCACACTGGGGGAGCCAGGGAAGACACCATGGAGGGGCTGGCATTTAAGCAGAGGCTGAAGGGTGGCAGGGATAGAAGGACATGTGCGCAAAAGACTGGTGGGGAATGGTGATGTCTTTGGTGAGGTCTGCAGGAAAGTGGAAGGAAATAAGGTTGAACCAATGAGTAGAGTCTGGGGGAGGGTTAGGCACATCGTAAAGAACCTACCATGTCTAGCCAAGAAATTTTGAATTTTATAAAACACTTGTTACATTTTTTTCCCAAACTGATTCTGTGTCTACATGAAACTTTTATAATTCCATCACTCCACTCAGTGTACTCATTCTTTAGTTCATATCAGGTACTCCATAAGTTGCATACAGCACAAATGTGTATTTTGTTTGTTTGCTGATGTTTTTATTTATTCAATTTTTATCTTTTAAGAGATTTTAATCAGCAAAATGTGGTCAAAATTGAAAGTTGCTTAATTACTGTTTTGGACAATATTCTATTTCCTTCATGACCTATTAGAACAATTCTGTTGTTCTAATTCAACTTGACCTTCACTTAAGCATGGAATGTTATTAGAGCCAGAAAAAAAATCTGTTTGTAAGTAAAAGGCAGAGATTCTGTCAACTTATCTTCACAAACATTCTCATCACCATCTCTATTTAAGGTTTATGGCTCTTTCTATCCAGCCGGACAATATTTTTTTCAATTCTGGTGTTCTTTATTATTCCTGTTTCCTAATTCAGTGTCAGACTTTCTATTCAGCCATTTGAACTGGGCTCACTAGCTTATTAATATATAATTTATGGAATACTTGCCGTGGTAGTTACAGCTAGGTTATGGAGTACTAAGTTCAATGAGACATTGTCCTACCTTCAAGTAGCTTATGGTTCAGTGTGAGAAGGAGATGTCAAAGAGTAAACTCAGGAGAGTGTGACACAGGCCTACACACAGGGCGAGGCATAGTGATGATAAAACTTGTCATGGTAGTAGGAGACATATTAACTGAGCTTTAAAGGATGTGTTGGCTTAAAAATTGCTGGGGGTGCAGGTGATAGATGTACACTGTTCAATAGACCCTATGAGAAGGACCTGAGTCCTTCTATATTAGCCTCTAAGTGTTTGATTATACACAGAACAAATACAGCTAGAAGAACAAAGACTCATGTCAAAATTCTAAGTTAACTTTAAAGTAATGTCTTAACTTTTAAAGCTTTCTATCCAATGAGTAGTATCCTCAGATTCCCAAAGGAACAAAAAAGAGAAAAAATCCAAAATAATATTAATGGTCATGGTGCAATATCACCTGTTTCTATTGTGTCCACAGCAATTTGTCTACCAGATTCTGATTCAATGAACAAGTAAGGGGGAGGTAGGTTAGAAGAAATAGAATGATGCTCCCTAAAGGAAACAGTCTGTTTTCATCTGCTATCTCACTGCCATGAGATTATGTGTGTGCGGACTGTAAGGTTCCATGGTGTAATGGTTAGCATGCTGGATTCGGAACCCAGTAAGTGTGTCAGGGAAGGGGTAGAATACATAGTTAAGTCAAAAGGGCTCTTTCAGTTTTGGCTTGCTGTCTTCTAGAGTTCCCTCTCTCCATCATCTACCTCTTCTAAATTTCTCTTAAAGGGGGAAACATCTAGAGAGAAATATTCTACAAAATGACTTTAAAATAATTCAGTAATTCTTTAAATAAAAAGACAGTTTCACACAGCCAGAACCACTGTGCTGCGAGCTTATGGCAGAAAGAAAACTGGATTTTAATTTTTGTATGTTTTACGTAGATTGAAAGGAAACAGAGACATTTGATCATATTTAATCAAAGAACTATAACGTTTACATGGCCCAGGAAAGTTTTTCACCCTCTAGTATTCTTGAGCATATATTGTATTCCAGGTCTTAGGCTAAATTCTTTTACATACAAAATCTCATTTAATCTGCACAATAATTGTACCAAGTAGATAGTAATAATATTCCTAATGAGGAAACTGAGGCTCACTTAGGTCTAGATCTTGGCCAATAGTACATGACCAGTAAGTGGCAAAGTTGGGATTTCTGCTTGAGAGTATTATTTTAAACTTCAACCCTAGCCAACTCCCTTTACTTGTAGCACTGGCCATATTCTATATGTATTTCCATTTTTAACTTACCATTTTTGCTCATACCTGCAAACTTCACCATCTAAAGAACAAAATTTACAAAATCAGAACTTGATTATTTTATTATCTTGAGCCATCAACTAGTTTTTAGGACTTTTTGTGATTTTATTTATACATTGAAAATGAATAGCTGTAATGAAATAGAATCTCTTTCTAATGGTGAAAATTTACTTAAGATTTCTATTCATTATTTTTTGGGGGGGTGGGAAGCTGTACTTTATTTATTTCTTTATTTATATTTTATTTTAAGTTCCAGGATACATGTGCAGAATGTGCAGGTTTGTTACATAGGTATACATGTGCCACGGTGGTTTGCTGCGTCTATTGACCTGTCATCTGAGTGTTAAGCCCTGTGTGCGTCAGGTATTCGCCCTACTGCTCTCCCTCTCCTTGCCCCCGACCCCCTGACAGACCCTGGTGTGTATTGTTTTTTCCCCTGCGTCCATGTTTTCTCATTGTTCAACTCCCACTTATGGAGTGAGAACATGCGGTGTTTGGTTTTCTGTTCCTGTGTTAGTTTGCTGAGAATGGAGCCATCGATTATTTAAGAGGTAAGTTTATTTTAGATAACTAAGTAAAAGGATTCCATACGCATAGAATATCACACATACATATATAGAATAAAAGTAGTAAGGAATTCCTTTAATAACAAAGGAAGCAGTCTTCAAATTACTTGGAGCCTGAAGAAGGAAAAAGTGATGAAAGACAAGACTGCCTCCCACCAAACTCCGTGGGGCATCCAGGTGATGAACCCTGTTTGCTCCTACGTGAATGCCATCATTTTGGCAGGAAGTGGGCTTTACAAGTGAATTCTGGAGCACCATGTTTTGTTGGGAAGCCCACACTTTGCTTTTCTTAACATACGCTTCAACTACCTATAGCTGCAAAAATATATTTCGATCATACTGAGACTGAGTGTTTTGGGTAATGCTGTGTTTGTTTTCCATGGCTAAGTGCTATGTGCAAATAAGAACGTGTGTGTTGAAAGGATCTGTTGTAGGATGCAGCAAGGGAACGAAAGGCAGTGACATGGATCCGGGGTTCAGTGCCTGGTTGTAAGAAAAGATTTTGTGTGAATCTAAGAAAATCTATATTTTTTTAAAAAGAAATTTACAAAAGACATTGAAGAAGAGTGATCATTTGCATTACAAGACAGATAAACAGCTAAGGTGCTCTTTTGATACTTGCCCCCTCTTTCAGCTATTCTGCTATTGGTGGACCCCAACTCTCTTCTCTGCTTTGTGATGCTGAGAATGGGATTCTAAAAACTCTATTTCTCATTTGTATGTTTAGTTACTAAGGGACACCAGAGAAAGGTCTGCGGGCAGCAGGATGAGGGAAGGGATTTGATTCTTTCTGTTTTACTTATCAGACTTGTCTGAGTTGCCTGAACAATGGCCCTTCATTCTGGCACATTGTGCTTCAGAACCAGCTCCACTGCACATGCTCAGAGGCACCAGCTCCACTGGGCAACTTCTGCAGAGGTCGAGCTCTGGCTCTATAAACCCCTCCTATAAGCTCCTCCTAAAACCAGTATATTGGAGTCCCATATTAAATCTCTCTGATGAAATCTCTAGAGTTACTTCTATTTTTCTGATTAGTTACTGACTGATATACATCCTTAGTGAGTTTAAAAGAAAATTTTCTGTATCCAAAATTCAATGCATTAAAACTATTCAGAAATCCCATTCCATGTTAGATTTGATAAATCTCAAAGATAAACATAGCCTTGAGATAACTGGTGTTAGCCTGTATATTATCTACATCAATAGTACATACAGAGAGAAAGATATATATATTAATTAATTTATCATTAATATATTATATATAATTATATAATCATATTGTTATATAATTATATTTATTATATATTATATATAAATTAATCTTAAATTCTATATATACTGTACTTAAATTAACTAATTCATATTTGCCTAGTGCTTTACATCTGGTAGAGAGTCTCTTTTTAATACCTGCTGTAGTTGAAATATTTCAATAAAACCCTTTCATATTTGGAATCTGTAATGATTATTATTTTATAATTTAGAGTAAAAGTTAAACTTCCTAGGAATATTAATTTATTTCTGACGATATTTCTTCTATATTTAAAAATGACATATCCAACAAATTTCTGAACATTAACTTACTTTACAAAATACTACATAGGGGAGTTTCGAATAAATGAAGATAACATATATGGACTGTGTTCTCTTTAAATTGCATATTAATTGAGAAGTAAAAGAATAAAAAGTGCCACTGCCAAAATACATTTTAGGTTTCACCAAAATTCAATAAAATAGGGGTGATGAGTTGGGTTCACTGAAGTGGTTATGAGAAAATAAATCACACATGAGCCTAAATTTCTCTAATGACTTCTTTAGACCTTTCTGTCATCCTCTGAAAGAATAAAATAAATAATGAGCAGTTTAAATAATCTATCAGGTACAATCTGCTGGCAAGGATTCCATATCAGACGAAGAGAACAGGTGTTTACCTCCAGTCGACCTCACTACTAGGGCAAGCTCTCTGCAGGCAGGCTTTACCATTGGCTCTGTCCTCAATGTGTCCATGTATTGTGAAATGAATTAACATACTCCAGTAGGATTTGGCAACGTAGCTAAAGAAAACTACATATTGCTTCCTTGTCACTCAATTAAAAAGGATTTTTAATTTAATTTAATCTTTTAATAAGTAAACGGTTTCTTTTTTCAAATATGGCTAAATGTTCATTAAATTTCCAAGTGCAACAACAATAAAAAAGGGTTTCCCTTCCAATATTACAATTCTAGCAGAAGGTTTTGTCAGTAAATTCATGGGGAGCAATATAAGATTTACATCTTTCAAAATGAGCAATGTATTTCTTTAGCCTTTTATAAGCCACCAATCATCTGTTTTTTGATACACTTCTTTAAACAAAATCATAAAATATTACTATTAAGATTTGATAGCAGTAATATTAGTGTTTAGATTAGTAAATACCAAATAACTTTTACATTGGGGATGATCTTGATCATGAGGCCAGAAAAATAAAAATATAGAAATGGTTATATACCATTGCAAACATCTTAAAGTAAAATGGCTAATAAAATGAAAAAATGATAAAGCAGTTAATATTCCAAATTGATATCAACTTCATATACTATACTAGATTTTTCTACTTGAGCTTCCTAAAGCAAATTCCAAAACTAAATGACCTAACAGAAATTATTAGATATTAGCTTGATAAAGGATTTCCTGAACTTTGATTTTGAGCTGATATCCCCAAATGGTCCTGGTTACCGTATAGCCAACCTTACGGGATCCTTTGTTCTCAGATCAAATCTGTAACTTGTGTGCTTTTGACAGGCAACGATATGAAAACGGCAAAAGGAAATGTTGTTCTAAAAGTAATTTTCTAGAAAGTCTATTTTTCTCAGGGCCAAATATGGTCAAGATGGTTAAGAGGATGAGATTCCTCAAGTATATGGCAGTAACTGCTGTACTCAACTATGCACTGTACTCAAATATGCAGCTGACCTTTGAACAATACAGGTTTGAATTGTGTGGGTCCACTCATACATGGACATTCTTCTGCCTCTGCCACCTCTGAGACAGCAAGACCTACCCCCCTTTTTCCTCCATTCATTTGTTCATTTTACAAAATGTTAGTGAACATCTTCCATGGAGTGTGAATGGCTCTCTTTCTGTGAGCATTGTTTATTGAACACTTTCTACATGCCAGACACCTTTCTACAAAATGGTGCACGATGAAAAGGCTAATGTGTCTTGCTTGCAAAGAGGTCACAGTCTGATAAAATTTCCCCCATCACCTGTTAATTTTGCCTTTTATCCCCTCTCCCACAAAGAGATACCATTACATTAAAGCAGGCCATTGATCTCATTATTTCATTATCTGAAATGCTCTGAAGAAGGCAGCTTAGATTTAACAGCCAACACTAGACCAACATAGCTGGACTTGTACCCCACCAAATTGGGATCAACAGGCAAACGCTGAGAATCTAATAGGTATTCAATAAATACTTATAGACTGCTTAAGAGTTCTACTATTTGATTGTACAGTAGTTACCAACAATTTATTGTATCATTCAAAATCGCTTGAAGAAAGATTAAGAATTTTCCCAACACAAGGCAATTATCAATGTTAGAGATAATGGATCTCCCAATTGCCCTGATTTTATTACTACACATTGCATGAATGTATCAAAATATCACATATACACAAAAATGTGTGTAATCATTAGGTAGCAACTAAAAATTTACAAAAAAGAAAGAAGTACAGCATTTATGAGGACATACTACTTAGCCCGGAAGAAAGAGACTAAAAGAGGTAAAGAGGCAAAAAATGGAAAAAGACTTTAAAAAGAAAGATGAAAAAAAAAAGAAAAGAAAACAGTGAAAAAGTATAACTGAAAGGGTAACACAGGTAAATTTTATATACTCAGGCTGGGAATGATATTAAAGCCCTTGGCAAAAGAATTGAAAGACCATTCTACCTAAGCCCATCATATGTCAAGTTCTACTTACCCACAGGCATGAAAAAACAAGTATTACTTTCTTTCCATCATGAAAAACCTAAGATAGCTGCTGTATTATATGATTCTCATCAGTCACTGCCATGGCCCTCCAGTAAATAATGATCTACTCTTTGGTGTGATGCTGCCACCAGTAATGAGCATGTAATAGTGATATATTAACATGTTAAATAATGACATGCAAAGTTACGGTATATGTGTTGATGCCATGTCACTGCTAACCTGCTACTTGCACTAAATTTGTCATTCTCAACCTCATTTGTTGTTTCACATGGAAATTTTAATTTTGTCTCCCTTCCTTCACTCACTTCCAGATCTGGATAATCACAAGCCTCTTTGGTTTCCCCCCTTTCTCCCTATCTTTGCCACCTCCTTTAATCACACTATCACCAAGGAAACCAGACGCTAGCTGGCAATGGACACACAGATGGACAAAGAAAAAGCTTCTCCTGGAGACCTCACACTTACTTTGAAGGCTGCTCACCTGGGAGAAATCCAGGTCCAGAACCATGTTGATATTTGTTATGCAGGCAAGGCAGCAAAAGAATTTAGAGTGCAGGGACGAGAAACATATGGGAAGGCTGGTCATTCTGGGTCCCCGGTGGGGTGGCGAGCCATCTCTGATGGAAAGAGCTTTCAAAGTCATCAGGAACTACAACACAAGCAGTATACTACATGGCACCATCTGGAAAAAGGCCATCAAAGTTCAAAAGAAAGGAAAACAACTTAGCATTCAATCTACAACTAAAGTTCAGATGATCATGGAAAGTTACATGCTTAAGATTAACTATTGTGTGATCAAAACTGCTATGTTGAGCTTTTCATAGAAAGAAAGAGCTCTAGGGCTAAAAGCCCTTGTTCAGCATATGCTGATTAAAGTGGATGAGTGGGGTCTTTTGATTCTTATTTGAAAACAATATTATTTTTCAGCCTATTATTTTATTTCATCCTTGCAACATTACCTGATTTGAGGTGAGCCTTTCCTATTCAGTTAGAGATGAGAAAAATGAAGGTAAGCAATGTGCCCAATGTCACACAGTTATTGAAAGGAGATGCAAATATCCTGTTTCTTGATTCAATTTTTTTCGGAAAAATTTGATCTTGCTACTTTAGAAATGAAAGGAAGCATAGGCAATTGTAAATAAAGCAAGAGCATTTGCATGATAGTGTTTATTAAAACTAGATTTTATGTAAATCCTCACACAGTGTACAAGGTCCTTCCCTCTCTGGGCAAAACGACCTGCACTAAACAGTTAATAAAATGAATTAGAGCAATTCTTTTTCTTATGATCTCAAGTCACATAGGCACTGTTTTCAATAACACAGCTGGAATCAATCACCGAAAGAAAGAATGTTTTTCCGTATATTTTGGACTCAGAGAGCTAGTCATGTCCAGAATCAAGAGTTGGTGACTCCCAAAATGTGAGAGGTGTACAACAGCAGTAAAATAGGTAGTAATTGTCATTATTTTAGCAGTCATGTAGACTTGGTATTAAATAGTGTTGGTTATTATAGCAATACATTATTTTCTATTTCTTTTTTAGTCCCTCACATCATGTCAAACACAAAGTTTCAGTTTAGTAATATTTTCACATGTCTCTACATGTTCAAGACTCCCTTTATAATGAAGAGAGATGCCAATGGGCAAAGTCATCTGGCTAGAATTTATATTGTCTTTATTTTTATATGTCACTCTTTTTGAGTAATACTAGTATCAACTTACAATAATAATATAAAGTTTCTTTATAAAATATATTCATTTAATTTTAAAATAAATTGATTGAAAATATTAAGTAATTATATACTACAGCATGGAATGAAGTTTGGGTAATCGCGGTGTTGGTAAAATTTTGACTGGAATTTTCCTTGAAATAACTTTGAGAATGAGAAGCTGAGACAGAAAAGCAAACCTTGACAGGCAGGACCTGGCCTGCCACTATCAGTTAGGTCCTGGTAATGTAAGGAGCTAGCCTGGCACTCACAGTCCATAGTGTTTTCCTGTTGAACACACCAAACTGAATTTCACAAAGCACTAATATCATACAAGGCTGCTCTGTGACCGTGATGGGTCAAGACAGAAAGAAGACTTCTCCCAAAAGACTCAACCACAAAAATGGCCAAATATCTTTCTATCCTGGCTGCTATGAATGACTGCTGCTTTAGGCTTGCTTTATTCCTTTCACCTTCTATAATCAGATTTATTAAGATACGCAATCATAGAAGTATTCTTCCTTCCTGGCAGCATCCAATCCAGTGCAAAGCCCTGCTTTCTTGAACCTACCCTCAATCACCTAACACAAGCTCAAGTCCCAGAGTCCTTTGCTAACACCATCATTCTCAGAGGCCCAAGGGTCTCCATGGTGTGTTTTCCTTCATTGCAATGAGCTCATAAACCCAACTTTGTTCAAGTAGAATTATCTTCCTAGTGTTCTTCAGCTGGAGGGCACTGACACATTGTAGCAATTGTGTTCCATCACAGGGATTGAAATATTAGTCCTTCTCAAAAATGAATCACAATTTGAAATTATCTCTAAACAGTCCGGGCATGGTGGCTCACACCTGTAATCCCAGCACTTTGGGAGGCTGATGCAGGTGGATCATGAGGTCAGCAGTTCAAGACCAGCTTGGCCAATATGGTGAAACCCCGTCTCTACTAAAAATACAAAAATTAGCTGGGCGTGGTGGTGTGTGCCTGTAATCCCAGCTACTTGGGAGGCTGAAGCAGAAGAATTGCCTGAACCCGGGAAGCAGAGGTTGCAGTGAGCCAAGATCGCACCACTGCACTCCAGCCTGTGTGACAGAGCGAGACTCTGTCTCAAAGAAAAAATAAATAAATTATCTAAACAGAAAAATAATATCTAACATTTATAACTATTTGTAGAAGCATTTTTTAGTCCACCTAGTAAACCAGTTGCTACTTCAGACAACAACTTCAGTGTTCACCCTCACTCATGAGCAGCCTATATTAGTCCCTTCTCCTGCTCAAAGCATTTCCAGTGAAAATATGAATGATGTCACAGCAGCTAAAGAAATAATAAGATAACAATAATGCCAACTATACTGACCTGTATTTTATTCAGGTTATGTGACTTGCCCCAAAGCACTCACCTAATAAGGTGGCAGAGCAAGATTTGATCCAAGATCTGAATGTTCTCAAGGTTTATGCTGATCCATTCCCTTTGCTTTCTCATAGTGAGGAAAGTCAAGCTCAAACTCCAAAGCTGACTAAGGGTAGAAAACGCTATTACATTTTGACCTAAATTCTTAGGATTGTTCATACTGTATTTTAAAAAAATGTTTAATAAAAGGAGATTTAAAAGCCAGGAGATTAGACACCTGTAAATAAAAGAGTATGTGAACTGGTTTTCAGATGAAATTTATTGCTTATATTTAGTAGAAACATTAGTGAAAAAATTACCCAGGCCAAAACATAATAATTGATGGCAGAGGATCAGATCCATTGACTAGTGAAAGACTTTGCCTCTTTCACCCTCTCACACACTTATTTTGTGATCCTTCCCCAGTGGGTCTTATTAATTTCAGGAAGCTATCAAGTAACCTGAATTATATGTCATCTATTCTCTGCATATGATACTGCTCTTCCCAAGAATTGTCCTATCTTAACAGAGAAATCATAAACAGCAACTATAAAACACTCTTTTATGACTCAAAAGAACCAGCCTTAAAATATAAAACATTACTTTGTTTCCATAAACATGCATAGAGTAATTCTTATATTCCAGGTCTCTTCTGGGTCACATGTATGATTTATTTTATCTTCCCCAAATACCTGCGATAGAGGTAATATGATACCCATTACAGAGCTTCAGAACCTTAAGTAATCTACCCAAGTTCATACAGCTAGTAGATGATAAAGCCAGGATTTGAAACTAAAATTTCAGATATCACGAGAGAAGCCATTGGGTAGAGAAGTGAAGAAGGTTTTGAAAGGCAATCCTCTACTTCCCTTGTTTTTTTAGGGTGGTCCTGACCAAATGATGTGCAGAGAGCACATGAGAGGAAATCAAAACCTGTTCTTCTTAGATTTTATTTACCTTATGTCCTCCACTGCACTTGAAGTGGTATGATTGATGTGAGCAGAGTAAACCTAAGGGGAGGGTCTACATGAAAATATATAGCACAAAGCTCAATGGAAATGCTCAAGAAGATCTAGTTTTCTTAACCCTGGCATATGGGAACTATATGTCTTAGTGCTGACTTGCCAGTCTGTCTCAATGCCAGGAAACCTGAATGTACATCCCAGAATGTGTTTGGATGCATTGCAAACAAATGTCAGAGCAGGCATTATACCCCCTCACTAATGTACATTTGCAGGTCAAGAGGGTGATGCTGGAAAAGATTAATCCCTTGCTGAGTAGTATCCATCAGAATGCTTTTAAATGTTGGCATATAAGCAGCTAATAGATTATATACCATAAACACAGCTGTTGGAAGAAAAGCTGCATTCCACAAGTCATACAATTAACATCTCTAATCTCCAAAAGTACTAAAATAAGAAGGGGGGAGGAACAAGGAAGGATGAAGACAGAGATTCCTTTCCCGGAAAGGGCAATCTGTCTCCTCGATGGTACACTTCTTTGATTCCTGTGAGTACAAGGCATTCTTACTGATCTCAGAGTGAAGGAGCCCAGAAAAACCGCCTTTGTAGGAGTGATATGTGGTGAACAGTAGATGGATTGGGAAGAAAAGGAAAAAGAAAATGTTATTTCAAACATTTTTTTCCCTAAAATATGTACATTGTGCTTGTTAGCATATACACATGTATCAGCACCAGTAACAACAACAACAAAAGGTTTCCATACTGTATATTTTTATTGTCATATGTAATTATTATAAAGAATTGTGAAGAAATATCAATAATGTAATTCTGTACCTGAGGAAAAAACACATCTAATGATTTGGTATATGTCTTTCAATGCTTTTTTCTAAGTATTTGTACATATATACATGTTTTCCCACAAAATTTTAATCTTATATACTGACCTATATAATACTATACTTTATTGCTGCATAGTATTTGCTTGAATACGGCAAAATTTATGTTATAAATTTTTTTCATTGTTATATATTTCTGGAATTTCCTAATTTTCAAAATTAAAAACAAATATTATCCTTGCATGTAAATTCATGGGTACAACTCTAATTATTTAAGATACATTCATAGAATAGAATTCCTAGGGAAAAAGAATAAATATTTAAAACATATGTTTATTTAAAATTATATTAATAATGGAAATAGCCTCAGAATTATTATTAATGGACACTCATGTTGAAATATTAAATAAGATAAAAAGTATGGAAACTAAATTAGAAGTCATCTTAAATTCTATCACTATTGTGTTCAATATTACAATTTTGTTCATTATTTTTCTAGACTTCAGATGGTGAAACTTTCTGTGTGTGCAGAAGGTGTAGAAGATCATACTACACATTCATTCTTAACCTGCTTTTTCACTCCACAATTTGTCATAGAGATCTTTCCATATTGTTAAATAGAGATGTGCCACATGTTTAATGGATGAAGACAACTCTATTTTATTAATGAAGAATAATTTATTTAACCACTCTCAACTGATGAACTTTAGTTTATTTCTAGTTTTTCTCTATTTACATAATGCTGCATGGATACACACACTGTGTGTGTGCATGTGTGTGTGTGTGTGTGTGGGTGTATAATGTATAATGCTGAGTATTTGACCAATTATGTACTGAAATAAATTTTTTATGATTTACTGAGCTAAAGAATATATATGTGTATGTGTGTTTGTGTCTGTGTGTGCATTTACTGAGCTAAAGAATATATATATACTACATAATATATACCATTTATTTTTATAACATATATAATTTATATTTTGTTAGATGGAAAATATCTCCTGTGTATTAAAGTGCCACTTGCAAAAAATTTTGCCAATACTTTATATTATCAATATTTACAACTTATACTAGTTTAAAGGCTTTAAAAAAGTGGTAACTTTTAGTCTTTTACAGTTGTTGGAGTTTGTATAATGCTAAAAAATGCTTTCACACTAAGATTTTAAAATATATTCACCATTATTTTCTTCCAGTACTTTTTTAATATTAAACACTGATAAAGTTGTAATTAAACTTAGTATGAGAAAGGTAAATACCCGATTCATTTATCCAAATGACCAGCTAGTTATTTCAACACGATTTATTGATAGTCCATTTTCCCCCACCTGTATTAGTGCTTTCAGAACAAAGTACCACGAATTGGCTGACCTAAATAACAGAAATGTATTGCCTTTCAGTTCTGGATGCTAGAAGTCCAAGATCAAGGTACTAGCAGGTTGGTTTCTTCTGGGAGCTGTAAGGAAGAACTTATTCCATTCCTTTCCCCCAACTTCTGGTGGTTTGCTGTAGTTTTCTGTGTTCCTTGGCTGTAGAAGTGTCACTTCTGTTGTTTTAGTTTATTTTGTACTGCCATATAACATGGGATGTGAGACTGAGTAAATTATAAAAAACAGAAATATATTTCTCACTATTCTAGAGACTGGAAGTCCAAAATCAAGGTGCTGGCAGGTTCGGTGTCAAGTGAGGGCTGCTGTTTGCTTCCAAGATGGCATTTTAAACATTGCATTCTCTGGAGGGTGGGAACACTGTGCCTTACATAGCAGAAGACAGAAAGGCAAAAAGAGAACTCCCTTTATCAAGCCCTTTTATAAGTGTACTTAATCCCATTCATGGAGAAGAAGCCCTCATGACTCAATGACTTGTTGAAGCCACACCTCCCTATACTGTTGTACTGAAGATTAAATTTCAACATGATCTTGAGAGGAGACAAAAACATTCAAACCGTAGAACTGAGCTCTGGCTTTCACATGACAGTCTCCCTGTGTGCCTATCTATGTCCAAATTTCCCTTTCTTATAAGGACACCAGTCATATTGGATTAGGGGCCCACACTACTCTAGTACTCATCTTAACTTAGCTAATTACAACTGCAATGATTCTATTTCCAAATAAGGTCACATTCTAAGGGGCTGGAGGTTAAAACTTCAACAAATAAATTTTGGGAAGACACAATTCAATCCCTAACAGCAACCAATCTATAATACCACAAGTCTATATTCTTTCAATGACTATAATTTTGTAATATATCTTAATATTTGATAGAGCAATTCCTTCTGTTACACTTCTAAATACTTTTTCCATGTTTACTCTACATATGAATACCAGAATTATTTAGTCAAGTTCCTAAAACATTATGTCACCGAAATCTTTAAAAATATTGTTGAAATTTTTGGTTAATTTAGGATCAGTTAGATATTGATAATGCTGATTCTTATACCAACAAAAAGATATTTCTTTACATTTATTCAAGTTCTTGTTCATGTCCAATTGAGTTACAGCTTTCCTCATATAAATTCTGTACATGTCTTAAGTTTATTTCTATGTATTTTGTTGTTATGATTGTAAAAGAGGTTCTTCATTTTATTTTCTAGATGGTTATTGCTGGTATATTAAAAACATTCTTTTTTAATATTGACATTCTTATTGGTTTTATAATAAAATCTCTTATGGATTTTCTTTGATTTTCCAGATATATTATCGTACCATTTACATTAATATATATTTCATATTAATTTTTAGTTTTATTTTTGCCTTACAGTCTCTGGCAACCTAAATCTCTAGCTTGACCTTTTTGTGCTTTGTTTTTGTTAATGAATCAGCTTTTTATGTAGAAGACAATCCTGAGTAATCTTTCAAGAAACAGTTTGTGAATATTAAAATTTCTAAGTCCTTAGACATCAAAAAGCATGTTCATTCTTCATACACACTTGAACGTTAGTTTGTCTAGTATAGAATTCTAAGTTTACCATTTCTTGCATTACTGATGGAATATCTAATGTTAATCTATTTTGCTTTTTTGAGGTATAAAAACTCTTTGGGAACTTTTAGAATTTTCTCTTTTGTCTTTAATGTACTGAACTATGATCAAAATATGTGTGGATGTGTGGGTCAATTTAATTCATTGTTTTATATTCAGTGGACCATTTCAACCTAAAGATGAGTGAATTTTTCATCCACAGAATTTTGTACTGTTTATTCATTGAGCATATTTTTTAAAAATTTGAGATCCCTTTATCTTAGTTGTCTTCACCATATAATGTCTAAGTAAACATTAAATGTGAATATTGTATCTAGGGTCTTTGGCAAATTAAAGCTTTTTTTAATCTCCAAATTTTAAGTTCAGGGGTACATGTGCAGGATGTGCAGGTTTGTTACATAGGGAAATGCGTGCCATGGTGGTTTGCTGCACACATCATCCCATCACCCAGGTATTAAGCCTGACATCATTAGCTACTCTTCCTGATCCTCTCCCTCCTCCCACCCCCAACCCTCTGACAGGCCCCAGTATGTGTTGTTCCCCACAATGTGTTCATGTGTTCTCATTTACCTCTCACTTATAAGTGAGAAAATGTGGTATTTGGTTTTCTGTTCTTGCATTAGTTTGCTAAGGTTAATGGCCTCCAGCTCCATCCATGTCCCAGCCAAGGACATGATCTCATTCCTTTTTGTGTCTACATAGTATTCCATGGTATATATGTACCATATTTTCTTTATCCACCGCATAATTGATGGGCATGTAGGTTGATTCCATGTCTTTGCTATTGTGAATAGTGTTGCAATAAACATACACATGCATTGGTTGGGCACAGTGGCTCATGCCTGTAATCTCAAGACTTTGGGAGGCTGAGGTGGGCAGATCATGAGGTCAGGAGATTGAGACCACCCTGGCTAACACAGTGAAACCCCATCTCTACTAAAAATACAAAAAAATTAGCCAGGTGTGGTGGCAGGCGCCTGTAGTCCCAGCTACTTGGGAGGCTGAGGCAAAAGAATGGTGTGAACCCGGGAGGTGGAGCTTGCAAGATTGTACCACTGCACTTCAGCCTGGGTGACAGCAAGACTCTGTCAAAACAAAAACAAAACCAAAAACAAAACAAACAAAAAAACATACACATGCATGTGTCTTTATAACAGAACAATTTATATTCCTTTGAGTATATACCCAGTAATGAGAATGCTCGGTTGAATGGTATTTCTGCCTCTTGGTCTTTAAGGAATTGCCACACTGTCTTCCACAATGGTTGAACTAACATACGCTCTCACCAACAGTGTAAAAGCATTCCTTTTTCTCCACAAGCTCACCAACATTTGTTTTTTGATTTTTTAATAGTAGCTACCCTGACTGGTGTGAGATGGTATCTCAATGTGGTTTTGATTTGCATTTCTCTAATGATTAGTGATACTGAGCTCTTTTTCATATGTTTGCTGGCCACAGATATGTCTTCTTTTGAGAATTGTTCATGTCCTTTGCCCACTTTTTAATGGGGTTGTTTCTTGTAAAGTTTTTTTCTTATAAATTTAAGTTCCTTATAGATGCTGAATATTAGACCTTTGTCAAATGCATAGATTGCAAAAATTTTCTCCCGTTCTCTAGGTTGTCTGTTTACTCTGTTGATAGTTTCTTTTGCTATGCAGAAGTTATTTAGTTTAATTAGAACGTGTTTGTCAATTTTTGCTTTTGTTTGAAATTGCTTTTAGCATTTTTGTCATGAAATATTTGCCTGTGCCTATGTCCTGAATGGTATTGCCTAGGTTTTCTTCCAGGGTTTTTTATAGTTTTGGATTTTACATTTAAGTCTTTAATCCATCTCGAGTTGATTTTAGTATATGGTTTAAGGAAGAAGTCCAGTTTCCATTTTCTGCATATGGCTAGCCAGTTCTCTCAGCACCATTTATTAAATAAGAAATCCTATCCCCATAATCAGGTTTGTCGAATATCAAACAGTTATAGGTGTGTGGTCTTATTTCTGGTTCTCTATTCTGTTCCATCCATCTATGTGTCTGTGTTTGTGCCAGTACCATGCTGTTTTGGTTACTGTAGCCTTGTAGTATAGTTTGAAGTCAGGTAGCGTGATGCCTCCAGTTTTGTTCTTTCTGCTTAAGATTACCTTGGCTTTTTGGGCTCTTTTTTGTTTCCATATGAATTTTAAAATACTTTTTTTTCTAATTCTGTGAAGAATGTCAATGGTAGTTTAATGGAAATAGCATTAAATCTATAAACTGCTTGGCCAGTATGGCCATTTTCACAATATTGATTCTTCCTATCCACGAGCATGGAATGTTTTTGCATTTGTTTGTATCATTCCTGATTTCTTTGAACAGTGGTTTGTAGTTCTCTTTGAAGAGGTTCTTCACTTTCCTTGTTAGCTGTATTCCTGGGTATTTTATTCTTTTTGTGGCAATTATGAATGACAGTTCATTCATGATTTGGCTCTCAGCTTACCTGTTGTTTGTGTATAGGAATGCTGGCAATTTTTGCACAATTGATTTTTTATCCTGAGACTTTGCTGAAGTTGCTTGTCAACTTAAGAAACTTTTGGGCTGAGATGATGGAGATTTCTAGATATAGGACCATGTCATCTGCAAACAAAAATAGTTTGATTTCCTCTCTTTCTGTTTGGATACCCTTTATTTCTTTCTCTTGCCTGATTGCCCTGGCCAGAACACTATGGGGCAGAATACTATGTTAATGGTAGTATGTGGTGAAAGAGGGCAACATTTTCTTGTTCCAGTTTTCAAGAAGAATGCTTCCAGCTTTTTCCCTTTCATTTTGCCACCATTGGCTGTGGGTTAGTCATAGACGGCTCTTATTATTTTGAGATATGTTCCTTCAATACCTAGTTTATTGGGAGTTTTTTAACATGAAGGGATGTTGAATTTTATCAAAGATGTTTTCTGCATCTATTGAGATACTCATGTTGTTTTTGCATTGACCATATATTATATTCACATTATATATGTGTATATATCTATACATGTTGAATATATGTATTTTTGTTATATTGAAGTTTAACTCAAATACAGTTAAATACATAGATATTAAGTGTAAGTGTAATAAGCTTTGAAAAATGTGTGCTAGCAAGATGTACAAAATTTCTATCACCTAGAAGTTTCCTCATGTTTTCTTCCCCCCACAGACAACTTCTGTCTCCAAAATGTACAGCCATACTCTGATTTCTTTCCCCATCAATTAATTTTTCTTATTATAAACTTCTTATAGATAAAACCATAGATTATATATGTTTTGTAATTGATTTATTTTGCTCAGTATGTTATTTTGGGATTTATCCATATTGTTTCATGTGTCAGTGGTTTATTCCTTTTCATTGTCAAGTAGTATTCCATTCTATATAACTATTGTTTACATTTGGGAACTTTTATGAATGAAGTTGCTAAGAGTATTCTCATACAAAGATTTTTATGAAAATATGTCATTAATTCTTACAGGCAAATTGATAAAATTATAGAACTACTGGGTCATAGAGAAGTTTCATTTTTTCAATAAGAAACTAAAAACTATTTTCCAAAGTGGCTATACCATTTTACATTATCACCAGACACGTATGAGAGTTCCAGTAGCCCTACATCCTTATCCACATTTGGTGATGTCTTTTTAATTTTAACTCTATTGTGGGTGTGTGGTAGTAACTCACTGTGGTTTTGTTTTTAATTTTCTTGAAATGTAATAATTTTGAACACTTTTAAATGTACTTATAGAATATTTATAAATTTACCTTTGTGATATATCTCTTCAAGTCTATTGTCATTGCATACTGGTTGTGTCTTTGAGTTACTGAGTTGTTGTATTTCTTTATATAATCTAAACATTGTTCTCTGTCTCATTTTTTTATTGTAAAGATTTTCTTCCAGTCCATGGTGTGTTTATGCATTTTCAAAATGGTGTTTATAAATGAGCAGATTTTTATTTTGATGAAATTCAAATTTTTACGATTAGTGCTTCTTTGTCATATCTTATACATCTTTGCTACTCTAAGATGATGAAAATATATTTTGATATATTCTTTTATAAGCTTCATTATTTCAGCTTTTATATTTGTTTATGATCCATCTCAAACTAATTTTGAGTAGAATGTGTAGGACGTTCAGAGGTTTTTTTTTTTTTTTAAATAGGAGTATCTAGATAATCCAAATTCATTTGTTGAAAGTATTTTCTTTCCCATTGAAATTCTTTGGCATTTTTGTTGATAAGCAGTTGACCACATAAGTATGGGTATATTTCTGAATTCTCTACTCTGTTCTATTGACTTATCAGTCTTTATACCAATACATTATGTCAACATGGTTTTGTAATAAACCTTGAAATTAGACACTGTGAGTCCTTCAAAATTGTTCTTTATATCAAGAGTTATATATATGTATACACACACACACACACACATATGGAAGAGCAGGTGGATGAGGATATGGAGGAAGAGGGGGAGTTAAGGCAAAGGAAGGAGGAGAAAGGAGGAAGAAAGAGGAGGAAGGGGAAGGAAAAGGAAGATTATTACAGACAAAAATTCTTCATGAAAATGGATGTAAAATTCCTTAACAAAATTGAAACAAATCTAACCTAGCATATATAAATTATACATTCTAAATGAAAGGCACAGTCAGAATGTACTTATTTTGAATCCATGTTTTAGGTATAATTATATCACTAAATGTAGAAGTATTGTGAGCACTTATCATGCATAAGACACTGTCAATTCAAAGATAAAATTGCCAATCCATCCTTGAATAACTCACAGCACTTGTTTTTACTTTTGAAAAGACAATACATAGGTATATAAATTAAAGACACAGGATAGAGAGCCCAGAGATTGGCCCACACAAATATAGTCAACTGGTCTTTAACAAAGGATCAAAGGCAATACAATGGAGCATAAATAATCTTTTCAACAAATAGTGCTGTAACAACTTGGCATCCAGATACAAAAAAGAAATGAATCTAGACACAGACCTTATATTCTTCACAAATATTTACTCAAAATAGATCATATATTTAAATGTTAAATACAAAACTATAAAACTCCTAAAAGATAACAAGAGAAAATCTAGATGACCTTGGGTTTGGCAATAGCTTTTTAGATACAATATCAAAGACATGATCTATGAAAAAAATAATTGATCAGTTAGGCGTTATTAAAATTAAGAACTTCTGCTCTGCAAAATACCCTTTCAAGAGAATGAGAAGACAAGCCACAGACCAGGAGAAAATATTTGCAAAAGACATATATGGTAAAGGACTCTTATCCAAAATATACAAAGAACTTTAAAAACACAACAATAAAATGAACAACCCAATTAAAAAATGGAATGGGCAAAAGATCTGAACAGACACCTCACCAAAGAAGATACACAGATGGTAAATAAACATATGAAAAGATGCTTAACATAATTGTGAATTAAAACTACAATGTGATACGGCTATAACCCTATTAGAATTGCCAAAATTCAATATACTGACAATACCAAATGTTCTTGAAGATGTGTAGCAACAGGAACTCTTACTCATTGCTGGTGGGAATGCAAAATTGTATAGCTAAGTTGGAAGAAATTTTGACAGTTTCTTTCAAAACTAAACATATCCTTACCATACGACCCACCAATTGTGCACAAAAGAGTTGAAAACATGTCCACACAGAAACCTGCATATGAGTGTTGATAGCAGTTTTATTCATAATTGTCAAAACTTGGAAGCAACCAAGATGTCCTTCAGTAGGTGAATGGGTAAATAAACTGTGGTACATCCAGACAATGGAATATTATCCAGCACTAAAAAGAAATGAGCCATAAAGCTGTGGAAAAATATGGAAGCAACTTAAATAAATAAATGCATATTACTACATGAAAGAATCCAATCTGAAAACTTGCTGTGTGATTCCAACTATATGACATTCCAGAAAAGATAAAACTATAAAGACAATAAAACAATCAGTGTTGCCAGGAGTTAGGGGTGATAGAGGGATGAACAGACAAAGAGTGGAGGATTTTTAGGGCAACAAAACTATTCTGTACTTTACTAAATTGGTGATACATGTCATTATATATTTTTTCAAAACCATAGAATGTGCAAAACCAAGTGAACCTTAGTGTATACTATGGACGTGGGTGATGCTATATCAATGTAGGTTCATCAATTATAACAAATGTACCACTCTGATATGGGATGTTGATCATGAGGGAGGTTGTGTTTGTATGGGGCAGGTGGTATTTGTGAATTATCTGTACCTTCTACTCAATTTTACTGTGATTCTAAAATTGGTCTAAAAAATAAAATCTGTGAAAAAATAAAGACAATGCATATTCACTGGCCATTGAGATAAAAGTACAACCAAGGTATTCCCAATTTAACATGGCATGGAATTATTAATGATAATATGAGCTTATAATTAACACAAGAATGTGTTAATTTTGTTTGAAAAACAAATTTCTTGATATATATGAAGCAATTAAATGATGACACAAATGATGATACACTTGTAATGAAGTATGTACATTATTTGCTAAATGCTTTATGAGTTCATAAAAATATGAAATAAATGGGCAGAAAGACTTGTAGCAGCTAAACACTTAGAGAGTATGTGGATAGATAAAGAAAAAGGAGTATCTCAAGAATTTAGGAGAGAATTATAGTCTCATCTCCAGGCTTTTGACTTATGAATTTAAACAGGTATTGACACCTGTTTTCTATCAAGAGAAAGAAATGGCCCTTTATTCTCTTGCTTGGCTGTGGTACATTCTGAACCATTTTGCAGACTTCCCTTAATAGAATGTTTATTTATTATTTCCATTTTTAAAAAGAATTTTCTATGAATTAACTTTAAAATATCTCTAGAAAAATCTCCTAAGATCTGTGCTGAGATTTGCATAAGAAGTCAATCAGTTCTAATTCAGAAGAACTAATGTTTTGAGTAAATACATGACATACTTAATTATGTTATAATGTTTTATTTCATTATATAGATTCCTACAATTAAGAAGTAAAAAGGAAAATTCAATATATTCTCCCAATATGCAGTTTGGGGATTCTCAGCTGCCAAAACAAAGACTGACTCAATCCCTTGGATCAACCACCATGAAACTTG
Source organism: Homo sapiens (assembly GCF_000001405.40). Taxonomy (NCBI): domain Eukaryota; kingdom Metazoa; phylum Chordata; class Mammalia; order Primates; family Hominidae; genus Homo; species Homo sapiens. The sequence goes on from NC_000015.10 coordinate 36,144,479, forward strand.
TTTAATAGGAATTGCTACAGTGTCATGATTTGTGGATTTTGAACACCTTCTCACTCAACCTATTTCTTCCTCTGGCTGGAGTAGCTCACGGCAAAATGCCTCATGTTTTATATTCTTTAGGCTTTTTTTTTTTTTTTTTTGGCTCTTGTGTCCTTTATTCCCTCTTTCTCACTTACTTAGGAAACTGGAAAGGGACAAGAAAAAAATGTATCATCATGCTTTCTTTATTCTTTAAATCCTATTTCCTTGGCCAGTCTGAGGTGTCAAAAATCAGTTTACACAGAATTGATGTACATCTTCAATGGCGCACTCACATCCTTTCCTTCTTTAACCATGTTAATATTAGGATTCTTAGGTGAACTGTTCTGGATTCTGATACAGTTAGAAAAGATTTGTGTCCTGCTCAAGGTCTAGAGACTTATATGTCGGCTTTCAGATTCCTCCTTCATCTTGCTTTAGATTTTATAGCATTTTGCTGATATGTTTCAATTTTGTGGTTTGGGACTGTGGTAGTTCTCTTGTTATTTCTGTTGTTTTCAGGGGATTTCAAAAAGATGTATAGTGTAAAAATGCTATTACTTCATGTTTAATGATATCTCCAAACTTTCAGTTTATTTTAATTTTATTTTTTTTCAGGCAGAGTCTTGCTTTGTCGCCCAGGCTGGCGTGCAGTAGAGTGATCTTGTCTCACTGCAACCTCCGTCTCCTGGGTTCAAGCAATTCACCTGCCTCAGCCTCCTGAGTAGCTGGGATTGCATGTGCGTGCCACCACACCTGGCTAATTTTTTGTATTTTTAGTAGTGTCAGGGTTTTGCCATGTTGGCCAGGCTGATCTTGAATTCCTGACCTCGGGTGATCCACCCGCCTCAGCCTCCCAAAGTGCTGGGATTACAGGCATGAGCCATCATGCCTGGCCATTTCAGTTTATTTTTTGAGCAGTAAAGTCAGCTATGCCAACAGAGATTGCAGCAAATGTTTGAACATTACTTTATTCAGATATTATGCATATTCTATTCTTGTGTGAATGTTGCATGTGTCCTCATATGCCATTGTTATTTTGTCAATCCTTCTGTTTTCTTATCCTTGAACATAAAGCTTCTCCCACTAGTGTTTTCCTTATTTTATTCTAATATAAATCAGTACATGCCTCTAAATTTGGAACGTCTCTTGAAAGATCAATAAAGACCAATACTTAGCAATGTAAAAGCAACATTATAGGATTCTGGGAATATAGTGGAGAAGGAAGAACCAGGAATCTATCTTTCCACTGAGACAACACTTCACTGACAGAATATATCTAATATAAGTAGTTTGGAACTCTTGGGTCTATTAAAGGCTTGAAATTTCCATGGTAATGCTTGGACAGTAAATTATAGTTAATTTCAATCAACGTCAGCTATAACAGCTACCCATCCCCTACCTCTATCCCTATGGCAGCCAGCTGTGCACACATTCCTAAAGCAACCTGCACACAGCTTGTAAGAGCCATGGTCCAGGAGGTGATGGTGAAACAAAAAGGACTCTGTCCTGCAAATATCAGGGATATGTGCTGTGATCACTGATTGTTGCTTCTGATCACAGAGCTGTAGACAAAGAGAAAGGCAATCATTGTTGCTGCATCTCCTACCATTGTTGCAAGCCCCTTCTCTTGCTAAAGTAGATTCCATAAGATTTAAGGGTTCAGTGTCCTTTCCTTTCTCCTCTTTACTTTTCTTTTTCTCCTTTCGAGAGACATTAAAGACTAGGATAGTCGAAAGTAGTTGCATCTACTGGAAAACAATAAAAATGACCATGCATACCTAGGGAAAGATGTAGGCTCAGAAAAGTACTGAGAAGAACTTATGCTTATACTTCAGGCTTATCCTTGGCACAGAGACAGCCTATAGTTATCAAAACAAAGACAAAAACAAGGAAAAACAAAAACAAAAGCAAAACCTCACAGCAAACCCTGAGAAACAGGGAGAATTTCCAGAATTATCACATATTTAAATTAAATGTTCAGTTTTCAACAACAACAAAAAATCACAAGGCATACAAAGCAACTGGAAATTATGGTCCATTAAAAAGAAAGAAAGAAATCAAATGAAACATTCCCTGAAAAAAGACCCGATGGCAAATCTACTAGATAAAGGCTTTAAAGCTTTTATCTTAAAGGTGCTCAAAGAACTAAAGAAAGATGTGAGTAAAGTCAAGAAAACAATGAATAGGTAAAAGTAAAATATTGATAAAGAGGTAGAAAAGCTAAAATGAAACCAATAAGAAATTCTGGTGCTCAAAAATATAATAACTGAACTAGAAAATTTACTAGAGGAATTCAAAGGTAGATTTAAACAGGCAGAAGAAAGAATCAGTTAACTTGAACATAAGACAAGGAAAACTATCACACCTGAGGAATAGAAAGAGAAAAATAAAGAAAAGTGAACAAAGCCTAAAGGAATTCTGGGACACCATCAAGCTGACCAAAATATACACTGTGGAAGTCCAAGATGGAGAAGAGAAAGAGAAAAGGTCAGAGAGAATATTTGAAGAAATAATAGCTGAAAATTCCTCAAATTTAATGAAAGACATGAATATAAACATACAGGAATCTCAATGAATTCCAAGTTAGATGAAATCATAGAGACCCACATCAAGACATAATATAATCAAACTTATAAAAGCCAAAGTGAAAGAGAATGTTAAAAGAAGCAAGAGAGAAGTGACTCATTACATACAAGAATCCTCAATAAGATTATCAGCAGATTTCTCATCAGAAACATTGAAGGTCAGAAAACAGTGAACTAATATACTTAAAGTACAAAAAGAAAAAAGCCCTGTCAACCAAGAACACTACATCTGGCAAACCTGTCTTTCAAATGTGAGGGAGAAATTACGACATTCCCAGATAAACAAAAGCTGAAAGAGTTCATCACCACAGGACCTGCCCTGAAAGAAATGCTCAAGGGAATCCTGCAGGGTGAAATGAAAAGACACTATGTAGTAACTCAAAGCTGTATGAAAAATTAAAGTTTTCAATAAGGATAAATACATGGGCAAGTATAAAAGCTATTACTATTATAACAATGGTTTGTAATTCTTTTTGTTTTCCTACATGACTTAGGAGACTAATACATTAAAAAAAAATTCTAAGAGCTAGTATTATTGTAACTTTGGTTTGTAATTCCACATTTTTTTCTACATAATTTAAGAGACTAATGTATTACAAATTATTAGTTCATGTTTTGGGGCACATAATATATAAAAATGTAATTTTGTGACAATGACCAAAAGGAGTGGGGATAGAACTGTTAAAGAAGCAGAGATTTTGTATTTTATTGATGTTTATCTTGCATAAATTCAAATTAGAGTGTTATAACTTTAGGATGTTAAATGTGATCCCCATGGTAACCACACAGAAAATAACTATAGAATATACAAAAAAAGGAAATGAGAAAGGAATTTAAGTGTTTACTACAAAAAAATCAACTAAACATAAAAGAAGACAATAAATGCAGAAAATGAGAGACAAAATGCTATAAAACAAATTGCAAAATGACAGAAGTAACTTCCTCCTTATCAGTAATTTGTTTAAATGTAAATAAATCAATTTCTTTAATGAAAGAATTGACGTTGACAGAAGGGACTAAGAGAACATGCTGTAACTATATGTTGTCTATAGGAGACTCTACAACCAAGGATGCAAATACACTAAAATGGAAAGAATGGAAAGAGATATTCTGTGCAAATCGTAACCAAAAAAAGAGCAGCATGCTAATATCAGACAAAGTTCATTTTTGTTTTTTGAGACAAGGTCTCTCTCTGTGGCCCAGGCTGGAGGACAGTGGCATGATCATAGCTCCTAGGCTTAAATGATCCTGTTTCCTCGGCTTCGTCAGTAACTAGGATTATAGGCTCATACTATCTTGCCTAGCTATTTTTTAAATTTTTTGTAGAGATGGGTTCTCATTATATTGCCCGGGTTGGTCTCAAACAATTCTCTCATCTCAGCCTCCCAAGATGCTGAGATTACAGGCATAAGTCACAGTGCTTGGCCTCAAAATAGATTTTAAATAAAAAAGGATTAAAACAGATAAAGAAAGACACCGTATATTAATAAAAGTTTCAATAGAGCAAGGAGATAAAGCAATTATTTACTTTTACACACCTGATAACAGAACATTAAAATATATGAAGAAAAATAGAATTGAAGAAAGAAGTAGACAGCTCTACAAATAGTTGAAGAAATCAGTACCCTACAATCAATAACAGATAGAAAAACCTGACAAAAGATAAGAAAATAGAGGACTTACACAACACGATAAGCTAATTAAATCTAATGAACATATACACAATGCTCTACCAGACAACAACAGCATACATCTTCTCAAATTTGCATGGGACATTTTCCAATATAGACCATATGTTAGACCAAATATTAAGTCTGAATAGATTGAAAAAGATATATAACATCCAAAATATCTTCTCTGATGACATGGGATGAAGTTGTATATTAATAACAGAAATAAAAATGGACAATTCAAAAATTTGTGGAAATTAATCAACACACCCTTAAACAACCAATGGATCAAAGAAGATATCACAAGGGAAATGAGAAAATGCTTAGAGATAAATGAAAACAAAAGCACGACACACCAAAACTTATCAGACATAGTGAAAGCAATGGTTAAGAGAAAATATATAGCTATAAATACTTACATTAAAAAACAAAAATATCTCAAGTCAACAACTTAACTTTATAATTTTTAGAACTAGTAAAAGAAGAACACACTAAACCCATAGCTAGCAGTTGGAAAGAAATGATAATAATTACAGCATAGACAAAAAAAATAGAGGATAGGAAATCAGTAGAGAAAGTTAATCAAACCAAAAGTTCAGTCTTTGAAAAGATCAACATTAACAACATGTAGTTAGATTGACTAATAAAAATCGAAGACTCAAATTATTAAAATCAGAGACGAAAGTGGAGATAATATTACCAATTCTACAGAAATAAGATTATAAGAGAGTACTGTGAACAATTATACACCAAGAAATTCAATAACCTAAATGAAATAGTCAAATTCCTAGAAATACAAATAAGTTAGCAAGAGATGGAAAATCTCAATAAACCTAAAACTAGTGAGGAGATTGAATCTGTAATAAAAAATCTCCTAACCAAGAAAAGCCCTGAACCCAATGGCTTCACTTGTGAATTCTACCAAACATTTAAATAAGAACTAACACCAATATTTCTTAAACTTTTTCAAAAAATTGAAGAGCAGGGAATACTTCCTAACTTATTCTATAAGGTGAGCATGATCCTGATACCAAAGCCAGATAAGACTACAAGAAAAACAAACTATAGACCAAAATTTTTAATTAACATTGACGCAAAATTCTCAACAAAATACTAGCAAGCCAAATTCAGCAGCATATTGAAATAATTATACAATATAATTAAGCAGAATTATTCCTGGAATGCAAGGATGGTTCATCATATAAAAATAGATCAATGTAATATACTATATTAACATACTAAAGGGTGAAAACATGATCATCTCAGTTGATGAAGAAAAGGCATTTGATAAAGTTCAGCACCATTTAATGATAAAAACACTTAAAAAACTAAGAATAGAAGGAAGCTACCTCAACATAATAAAAGCCATATGTGAAAAACTCACAGCAATATCATATTCAGCGGTGAAAAAACTTTTCCTGTAAGATAAGGAGCAAGATAAGGGTACCCAATTTTGCCACTTCTACTCAACATAGTACTGGAAGTTCAGCTAAAGGAATTGGGCTGAATAATAATAATAATAGTATGCATACAAATTGGAAAGGAAGAAGTAAAATTGTCTCTGTAGATGATATGGTCTTACATATAGAAAATCCTAAAAATTCCACAAAAACTCTGTTGAAATTAATAAATAAATTCAGCAAAGTAGCAAGATACAAAGTCAATACATAAAAATCAATTGCATTTCTGTACACTTAACAATAAACACTCTGAAAAGGAAATTACAAAAACAATTTCATTTACAATAGCATCAAAAATAATAAAATACTTAGGAATTAGACAAGGAAGTGAAAGACTTGTACACTGAAAAGTATGAAACATTGCTAAAATAAAGAATAAAATAAATGAAAATGCATCTCAAGTTAGTGGATTGGAAGACTTAACATTGTTGAGATAAAAATACTACTCAAATCAATCCATCAATTCAATGCAATCCCCATCAAAATTCCAATGACTTTTTTTGCAGAAATAAAATAATCTTAAAAATCATACAAATTCTTAAGAAACCAAAATTGCCAAAACAATCTTGAAACAGGACATAATTGGAGAACTCACAATTTCTGATTTCAAGCTTACTACCCAGCCACAGTAATCAAAACAGTGTGGCAGTGGTATAGGAACAATTATAGCCCCATGAAATAGAATATAAAGACCAGAAATAAACTTTTGTATGGTCAAATGATTTTTGACAAGAGTGTCAAGTTCATTCAATGGGTAGCAGACAGGCAGTCTTTTTAACAATGATGCTGGAAAACTGGATATCCACATGCAAAAGAATGAAGTTGGACCATTACCTAATACCATATAAAAATTCACTTCAATTGGTTCAAAGACCTAGATGTAAGACCTAAAACTATAAAACTTTTACAAGAAAACAGGTCAAAAACTTCAGGGTGTTAAATTTGGTAGTAATTTATTTAATATGACAGCAAAGCATAGGCAACAAGAGAAAAAACAGACAAATTGGGCTTCACGAAAATTGTAAAAATTCCTGCATTGAGATGATATCGATAAAGTATAAAGGCAAACATAAAATGAGAAACAAAATTTGCAAATCATATATCTGATAAGGAATTAAAATCTATAGTATAGAGAGAACTCCTAAAACATAACAACAAAATAAACAACCAGATTTAAAAATGGACAGAGAACTTGAATAAACATTTCTTCAAAGAAGATATACAAATGGCCAATACACACATAAAAATGTTCAAAATCTGTAATCATAAAAGAAATGCAAATAAAAACTATAATGAGATACTGCTTCACAACCATTACAACGGCTACCTTCAAAAACTATAGAAAATAACAAGCGTTGATTAGCATGTGGAAAAACTGAAACCCCTGTGCATTGCTGCAGGGAATATAAAATGGTACAGCTGCTCTTGAAAACAGTATGAAAGTTTCTCAAAATTATTTAAATGGAATTACCATATGATCTCGCAACATTACTTCTGGGTATATACCCAAAAGAATTGAAAGCAGGATCTTAAAGAGATATTTGTAAAACCATGTTCATCGCAGCATTATTCACAATAGCTAAAATGTGGAAGCAACCTAAGTATCCACTGATGGATGAAAAGATAAGCAAAATTTACATTTTGCATATACAGACAATGGAGTGTTGACTTTGAAAGGAAGAAAATTCTCACATATGCTACAATATGAATGAACTTTGTGTATGCTAAGTGACATAAACAAGTCACAAAAATACAAATACTATATGATTCCACTTATATGAGGTACTTAGAGCAGTCAAAATGGATACAAAAAAATAGAATGGTGATTGCCAGGGTCTGGAGAGAAGAAAGGGGCAGGCAGTTATTGTTGGACAGGTACACAGTTTCAGTTTCACAAGATGAAAAGGGTTATGTGGATGGAAAGTGGTGGTGGTTGCACAACATTATAAATGTATTTAATACTTCTGAACTGTACATTTAAAATGGTTAGGATGGTAAATTTTGTGTTATGTTTCTTTTACCATAATAACTTTTAAAAAAGAGCCAGGTGCTGTGGCTCACACCTGTAATCCCAGCTACTCAGGTGTCTGAGGTAGGAGGATTGCTTGAGGCCAGGAATTTAAGACCAGCCTGGGCAGCATAGCAAGATGCCATCTCTTAAAAAAAAAAAAAAAAAAGAGAGAGACCTTTACTAGCAACTAACTTGCTAGAAAACTCCTCCAAAGAAATAAAGGTCACAGGGGAGATGGGTGAAGATGGGTCTTTTCAGTTCAATCAAAATAGCTTGAATAGAATATTTTCTTCTATAAATCTATACAAATATAAACAAACCCCAAATTTGACTAAAATAAATCTTTAAAATTATGATTGATTTGGCCATTCAAAACAATACCTCATGACAACTCATGTTTACAAACAACCTGAGTGTTTTCAAATAACCTTTGTAGACTCTTTTTTCATTAATTAGGTACTAGACTCTCTTGGCAGTGTCTTACTCAAAAAAGAATAAAGAGAAAAATATAAATAAATGGACAAACTGCAAAAGCATAACAAAAAGGCATATAGCAAGTCCAGATGAATAAAATCACCCACATATATTAGAGATAATTGAGATGAAAGACATGGAAATGTGTATAAAAGTCTAATACATTCGTGATTTTTCCTCCATTTCTGATCATGAAAACATTAATAAAATAAGGGAAAGTATTTGAGAAGGGAACAGGGATGAAGAACTCCTTTAAAAATGTGTCAATTTTATTTCTGCTTCAATCTCCAAAGGCCTTTTAAGATCTCCTAATATTCATTGTCAGAATCAATAGCATAGATGAATTTCTACAGTTTCCAATAAATGGAAAACATATGTGAATGAAAACAGAACATTCATATTTGGTCTTTTCCCAGAGAGCACTGAATTGGTTTCTTGTTTGTTTTTAACAGTCATCTGCAACCAATGCAATTGAAAACTAAGCAAAAACCCAAAAGGCTTTGCTTCATATGTAGAAGAGTGCTCCATGTCTAAAGCTTCATACTGAAGCAAGAGCTAAGTTTGTTGATGAAGTGTACACTCAGTTTATATTTCTCAAAGCTGGGAAATCTGGCCAGGTCCTAACTTCAAGTCAGCTATTTTTGTGATCTAAGCTCAGGATCTACTGGACTTCACACAGGCCACCTCTGCTAAGCCCTAACCTTCAATGTGGGCTTGCTTCTATTATGGATTCTCAGTATTCAGATGAAAGATGCAGGTGATTGAAAGCATAACAGATTTAGTGGCAGAAAGAAAATGTATTTGAGAAGATAACAATAAGAAAGAAAGAAAGTTCATTTGCCCCGACTGTAAACTAAGAAGGCTGTTGTTATGACTGGTTTAAGGCACTATTCTGAATTATCTACTGTTTTGATTTACATAGTAAATAGTTCAGTACTATGGAGAGCATGGCTTAAGCCCTATGCCCAGCTTTCTGTATCTTTCTGCGCAGGAATACAGGTGCCTTAAAACTCTTCAATATCATTCACCTGTATACCACACCTGAGTTGTCCTCTCAGCCATATTTCACACTCTAAACCTCTCTCAGCAACCTCATTCTTACAGTGTCCTTAACCATTCAACAACCAATAGAAACTTATTTTGCTAAGACTGTAACACACTGAACTAAATGCTAAAAATACTCCTATGAGGAAGACATAAGTGATGTTAAGGAATTGGCCATCTGTTAGAGGAAAAAATATATACACAGAGTAATGATGGCCAAGATAGTCTGACCATCACCTGGAATGGTTGTTTAAAATGCAGTTTTCTAAGCAGTACTCTGAGAAATTCTAATTCATTACTTTGGGTGAGGGCGAGGCGGTTGGAGGAGGTGAAAACTGAAAATCTCTAGATTAGTGGGGTTCTCGACCCCAGCTATATAGGAAATCAACAACATTTTTAAATATATCAATTCTTGGGCTCTACCCCAGACCAATAAAATCAGGATGTTTGGGAATATAGGCATTGAAATTTATATGCATCTTGTCTTGAATCCTGGCTCCACCATTTAACAATAGTGTCATTAAACATGTTCTTCAACTTCTGTAAGTTATAGTTTTGCTTTGTTTTAATTCTGAAATCGACATAGTAGTATCTATTTCATTGTGTGGTTGTGAGGTTAAATGAGATAAGGTATGTAAGGTATAATACCTGATGATGCATAGTAAATAGGTGATAATGGTAGCTAACATTTATTGAATATTTACTATTATGTGATACTTTGCTAAGCACTTTACATGAACTAAAACAACCATTATATTTTTATCTTCATTTTTTCAGTGAAGGCCTGAGACATAAAATAGTAAAGTGATTGCCCACAGTACACAATTAGCAAGCAGCAGAGCTAGGGTCTAGTACTTGTGACTATTGTACTACATATTTTAGTATATAGTAGCTATTCTTATTGAAAAATAACTGATACTCTTAGTTCAGGCTGCTGTAATAAAATACAACAGATTGGGTGGCTTAACCCACAAATGTGTTTCTTGCTGTTCTGGAAGCTGGGAATCTGAGATCAGGATGCCAACATGGTCAGCGTCTTCATGAGGGCCCTACCTATGGTTTGAATGTAGCCCCCAAAATTCATGTCAGAAACTTGATACCGAATGCAGTCGTATTGGGAAGCAGGACCTTTTGGGACATGTTTAGATCATAAGGGTTCTCTCTTCATGAATGGATTAATGCTGCTATTAAAAGTGCTTAGTGGAGTGGTTTCACCTTGTATTCTGCCATTTGAAGACACAACACTCATTCCTTTTCGCTCTTTCTCTTCTGAAGGCCCTCAACAGATGCCAGCACCTTGATCTTGGACTTCCCAGCCTCCAGAAATATGAGAAATAAATTTTTGTTTTTATAAATTACTCAGTCTCCGGTATTCCGTAATAGCAGAATAAATGATAAATAAGTGCCCTTATATAAAACAGATGAGACACAAGATTAATCTTGTATTCTTGTGAACTAAGACAGCCCTTTCCCTTTTATGTCCTCACATGGCCTTTCCTTGGTATACACAGGCAGATTAGTCTTGTGTCTCTTCCATTTTATATAAGGGCATTAATCCCATTATGGGGTTCTGTTCTTATGACTTCATCTAACCCTAATTACCTCCCAAAGGTCCCACCTCCAAATACAGTCACAATGGGGATAAGGGTTTCAACATATGAATTTTGGGGTAACATAAACAGTCATTGCATAGTATTAATTAAGAATCAGACAATCCACAGTAAATGTCAAATGAATGGAGTTGAGAATAATTATGAGGTGAATTCTGAGTTTTATGGGTTTAGATGGGTTTTATGAAAATGTCTTTTTCTTCCAGGCTTTGCCATATGAAACCTCTTAAAGTCAAATTTTCTGATAAAGAACGGCTATTTTTTCCAATGATTTTCAGATAAAGCAGCTGAGGCCTAAAAAGAAAAGGAAATTAGGTTACATAACTAGGAAGTAGTAGAAGGTGGGATTTGAGCTCATGTTTGTCCAATTGAACATGTTCCTTTAGATGAAAAGCAGTTTCTAAGAGAAGGTGATGCAAATCTGGCCAATGTGTTTGTTATTTTCCAGAAGGTGGTTTGGGCAGCTATCAAAGCATTTTGAAGAGGAAAGGAGCACGAATGAAATTCATATGATCATTTCACCACATTTACTCTGTTATGGCATTTACTCTGTTATTAGTGTCTGACACGAATCATCATCACTTGATGGTGTATGTAGATTTCTTTTCTTTCTTTCTTTCTTTTTTTTTTTTTTTGAGATGGAGTCTTGCTCTGTCTCTGTCGCCCAGACTGGTGTGCAGTGGCGCGATCTCGGCTCACTGCAACCTCTGCCTCCTGGGTTCAAGCAACTCTCCTGTCTCAGCCTCCCAAGTAGCTGAGATTATAGGTGCACACCACCACGTCCAGCTAATTTTTGTATTTTTAGTAGAGATAAGGTTTCACTGTATTGGTCAGGCTGGTCTTGAACTCCTGACTTCAGGTGATCCACCCACCTCAGCCTCCCAAAGTGCTGGGATTACAGGTGAGAGCCACCACGCCTGGCCAGCTGGATTTCTTTTCTACTTACAAGCAAAACTCAGAATTGAACTTCAGCTAGACTGGGCACGGTGGCTCACGCCTGTAATCCCAGTACTTTGGGAGGCTGAGGCAGGCAGATCACCTGAGGTCAGGAGTTTGAGACTAGCCTGACCAACATGGAGAAACCCCATCTGTACTAAATACACAAAATTAGCCAGGCGTGGTGGCACATACCTGTAATTCCAGCTACTAGGGAGGCTGAGGCAGGAGAATCACTTGAACCCAGGAGGCAGAGGTTCCAGTGAGCCGAGATTGCACCACTGCACTCCAGACTGGGCAACAAGAGTGAAACTCCATCTCAAAAAAAAAAAAAAAAAGAAAAACAACAAAACAAAACAAAAAAACAAAACTTCAGCTATACATTTCTTCCTTCAAGGTTACATTTCTTTATCTCACATGCACTCTGGACTCCTCGGTTTGCATGATCACAGATAAGATCATTTACAGAAGAGCCTCATGTCAAGATTCATTTCAATCAGGGATTAAATCTAGTCATTCATTCACTCATTCCACAAATTTAAATCAAAACACTAAACTAGCTTCAGTAATTGATAGAAAGATGTGGCTCCTATCCTCAGAAGCTCATGCTCTAGAGAAACAAGTACAATGTGCAGTCCTTGATGGACCCTCCCTGACATTCTTAACAAACCTATGAAGTCCAGTCAACAGATTGCACAACTTTGTGGAATGTTGCTTATTTTTGCTTAATAGCAAAATCAAGGCTGAGTTGCCAGATGGAGCTTGGCAACATTTAATGACCAAGTAGCCCAAAGGTTCTCTCTAGAACAAAATATGGACTTTGCATTTCCTTTAACAATTTTTTCTTAACATCTTCTCTAGCCTTACAAACAGAAACACATGCCTCTGCCAGTCCCCACATGGGATCCCAGATGAGAAACCTCTCAAGGAGAATAACAAAATGCAGTTGGAATCAAAGTGTATGAAGCCTCCCAGACACACCCAGCAGGAGTCACCAGGAAGCAGCTGGGAAGAGGCTGACAGCCCACCAGCAATGAGACCACAGGAGCTGCTGCTCCCGGGAGGGAGTCTGCTGTCATCCTCCACTTGCTAGAGTTCTCCCTCCTCTCTGCTTGTTACACACTGCTTCCCTGCTCTAGAGCTTGCTCCAGAGATGACTTCAACAGAACAGAGTGGCTCTTCCTTACTTGAAACACAGATCCATTGTACCTGTGGCTTTGGCTCTGGATTGTCTTTCTACTTAGAGGAGAACAAGGGTGTGACTGAGCCACATGATGGAAAGTAAAGGTACAACCAAAAATTGTGGCGTTTCCTCTTGTTTATGACATTAAATTTCCCTCAGCCTCTACCCTCATGCTGCCTGCTTCTCTAAGGCTGCTCCCAGGGAACAAGTTAATAATCTCAAATACAGTAATTTTTGCCCCTTTCAGAGGTAAGAGTTTAACAGGGGACAAAGGACGAATTTTCCATCATGGCATTTCAAACATCAGTAAAATGTTGATTATTTTTCAGCACTCTTGATATTATATCTGAGTAGCTCTTGTAGAAATTAATGCAAGCTGTGTTTTCACTGCAATGTGCCCTTACTGTATTCACATGCAGCGAGAGGTTATGCTGATGGAACTTGGCCATGATTTGTGATATTGTTTATTTACATGTATTAATATAAAATAAAATGCAACGTGCTAAGTAACATTTAAGCCCTCATTAACCTGTTCCTGAACTATTTTTCCAACTCCATTGATCCCTACTCCTTGTGATTCAGCCAGTACCTCAACTGTTTGTTTCTATGCTTGTTCAAGGTTTGTAATCCTTAGTCCTTTGCTCAAAATGAGAGTCAGCCTGGCATAAGGGAAAAAGCACTCAACTCAGACGAGCCTGAGTGGGAAACATGACTTAAATAAGTTAGCAACTTATGCAATATCATTTATATAACTTTGAGCCTTTAGCATAATCATCTGTAAAATGAAGCTTCCCACTGTGGGATGTTCTTGAAAAGGGTGTTATAGGATATGGAAGCACTATGCACAGATGAGGCTCTCAGTAAAGTTGTTCCATCATCTCTGAGTACGCAAATTTTATTCATCCTTTAAGTTGCAGCCCAGATAGCACCTTTTGCATAAAGTGTCTACTGATTGCCTCCACTGGGATGCAATCTTTCCCTCTTCTCAACTCCTATCTCTCTTTGCCTTTATCAATCATATAGTAAGTGCGTCTTTTTATTTTGTATCACAGGGTCTCAAACTGAGACTCTGAATGTGGCTTGTGCAGAGTGCTTCCTGGGATTCTGTGTGTATGGGTTACTCTGCATGGAGCCTCCTGTTGCCAACCAAAAAAGGACTAAGCTTGGCTCCTTTCCAATTCTCTGTACATAATTTTGTATTCATATTATGTTCTTTTTCTTGAAGAAGGCCCTGATTTTATAGGTGTCAGTCCCCCCAAATCCTGATTAGCACCTGGGGAGGAGGGAGATGAGGGTATGGAACTACTGGCATGGTGTCTGTCCATATCCGCAGAGCTGAAGGAGTTGTATGGATGAAAGACATAATGGTATTGGAAACAAGTGTGCTCTTTGGGGTCTGGATAACAAAGTATGGCAAAAGTTGAGGAGTTGAGGGAATATCTGCAATCCAAAAGTTGAGGATTAGCAATGACAGAACCACAATATCCACAATACCCTGGACATGCAATTGGCATTCTCTTCATGGATGCTAACATCAGTAGCAACTTCTCATCAAGTCAAATGCCTCCTCTTCAGAGAGTCTTGCTCACTTTTTGTAACCCCTTTCACCAACCTCTGTGTCATCTACCCTATTTGTCACTTTTTTTTAAGAGGCAGGATCTTGCTCTTGCTCTATCACCCAGGCTGGAGTGCAGTGGTGCAATTATAACTCACTGTAGCCTCAACTTCTGGGCTTAAGTAGTACTCTCACCTCCACCTTCTGAGTAGCTAAGACTACAGGCATGTATCACTATGCCTGCTCCCTTATTTGTCACTATCTGAAATCATCTGATTTGCCTTTCCTTAACCCTTCCCCCAACCACATATACACAAAGTGCCAAGAGTCAGGGGCTTTTCCCAAAGTGTTTATTACTTACCTCTAGAAGAAAGGGGTGCCTGTCTTACAGGAAGTACTCATGAAGTATCTGAGGGGTGAGTAAATGTGAAGACTGTTCAAGGGGCTTTATAAGAAGAAGACGAAAATAAAGGAAGCCAATATAGAAGAAGAAAGGCAGGATCAATACCTCATAGTAACATGAGCTGACAACCTGGTTTGTGAACATATGGAAAGCACTCCTTAGGATCTCCCAGAAATGTTTGATGGGGATGCTTCCTGTGTGCAGTTCCTATTAGAGCAGGTGGGATATTTCAGTCCTCATTGGCTAGGGAGACCTGGGGGCAATTAGGTTATATGCATACTTGAGTTTTTTTCATGGATCTTATCTTCTCTATTAAACTCTTAGGAGAAGGTAGGACAATCCTCAAATTGCCCAAAGGACCTAATATATGGTCTTGCAAAAGTGTCTGTTGATAATATAAGTGTCCATCAACAGTTGACTGGATAAATAAATTGTGATGTGTATATATATATATATATATGTGTGTGTGTGTGTATATATATATATATGTATACACACCATGGAATACTATGCATCCATAAAAAGCATGAAATCATGTCCTTTATAGCAACATGGATGGAGCTGGAGGACATTATCCTAAGTGAACTAATTCAGAAACAGTAAACCAAATACCATATGTTCTCACTTACAAGTGGGAGCTAAGCAATGGGTATACATGGACATAAAAATAAGATAAATGACACTGGGGACTCCAGAAGAAGAAAGGGCAGGAAGGGCTAAGGGTTGAAAAATTACCTATTGAGTACAGTGTTCGCTAATGAGTACACTAGAAACCCAATCCCCACCAGTATGCAATATACCCATGTAATAAAGATGCACGTGTACCCTCTGAATCTAAAACAAAATAATTTTTAAAAGTATGTTGAAATAAAGAATGAATGAATCAGAGTAGAAGAGAATATCTTGTTCCATATAAACAGTCTGTGTTAGAAAAAGCAATATAATAAACCAGAAGTGTTCAGTTGTGAAAAGGGTTGAAATTTTTCAACATAAATACGTTACATAAAAGATTTCTATTAGAAACTCCTTAGAAGGCATCTATTAGAAGGTAGTGTCCCTTGGCTGTAAAGTCTAAAACTCTCCTTTGCCACAAAATGACATTGTACACAAATGTAAATAAGTATAACTGGTTACTTAGCAACCACAAATATTTACAAATATGGAAGTCAGGCTCCATCAAAATGTCAGGGTAATTATTGGCAAATTGTATATCATGCAAATGTTTTGCAGCCATGCAAAATGAACATTCTTGTAGGGTGCTGCCACAATTGCTCTTCACTGCTGCCTAGAAGTGTCACTTAGTCTCTTGGGTTTTGTTATGTTGAATTAATGGGACATAAAATTATTTTACAGAACAAGTGGATATGTAATTTACCATATGCTTTTCCACAGGGGTCTTCCACTTAGTTGTCATGGGGTTTAACCTAGTTAAAATGCTGCAGAATTCAGCATTATTTACTAGATCATCTTCCTCAAAAAAGTCAATATTTTTTTTTCTAAAAAAGACAGGGAGACTAGAAATTTTGTGGTTTAAATTTTTTTTCAAAATTTATTCTTTTATGAATTATATTTGTAGAAGGAATCTTTTATTACTTACATTTAACAGTCTTCAGAACTAGTTTCAAAGATTCTCTTAAGGTATGCATGTGCTTTTTTAAAAAAAGAAAGAGAGATGGAGAGCAGGAAAGAACAAGGAAGGACAGGGAGGGGTAGAGAAAGACTGAAGGGAAGAAGGAAGGAAGGATGGTGGGAGGGAGGGAAAGAAGGAAGGAAGGGAGGGAGGGAAAGAAAATGAAAGAAAAAGAAAATGAAGGAAGGAAGAGAAAATGAAAGAAAAAGAAAGAAAGAAAAAGGGAAGGAAGTAAGGAAAGAAGGAAAGAAGGAAGGAAGGAAAGAAGGAAAGAAGGAAAGAAAAGAAAGAAAGAAGGAAAGAAAAGAGAGAAGGTTGAGCAGATGGGCATGATGTGTAAGAGCTGATGGAAAAATTAATACTAAATTAATACTAAACTACATGTCCTTTATTTTGTAAATCTGAATGATGCCAAAATGGATAAGCAGAATAACTGCATGATGTGCCAATTAATACTTGAACTACAGACAGAGGGATTAACTGAGTTTCTTACCCAACTGATTGGGGTGTCGGCGGTGGGGGGGGGACCTCAAATAACATTATAATTACACTTAAACACAATTTTACACTCCCTATATGTTATAAAAATTAATTTCATCTCAAGAAGATCTCAAAAATAAGATGTATTCTAATTCTCCTGTGGTCTTACATCTCCTCTACGATAGAGCTTACAGTTGGAGCCAATTTATTTAGCCTTTCTCAGTATTTCAAATTCGTGTAGAGAAGAAGCTTTTTCTGCCAAGATTCACACCAAAGCAACTTGATAGTCTTGTCCAAGAAGGATCAAATGTGAAACTAGACAACAATGAAAATTGTGCAATGTGCCCGTCTCTCTGCAGCCAGTCAAGTGCAAAGAAATCTGGGTCATTGTTCTTGGGAGGCTTTTCAAATGGTCAGAGAAAACAGTTGAGCACAGGGCTTCTGGCCTGCAGTGTTGCCTCACTATTTGTTTTCTCCTCTAAAACTCTAGGGGGAGAATGAAAAGGCAAACACAGCCATCCCACCCCTCCTTTTCAAATGGGGTTGTCATGCCAGATATTCTGAGTAACTTATTCAGCCCAAGGCTAATAAGCTGAACAACTTGTTTTGGCTAGACATTCCTCATCTCCATATGGAACTGCTTGTGTGAGTTTGGGGACTATTATGTGGTCAAAGGGAGGATGTTAAACCAAGAAAACAAAAAATCCCAGCACTTTCCTTTTCTCTCTTATAAATCCACTTTCAAGGCTGAAGTAAAGTGCACGGATTGCCCAAATCCTTAGGCGGAAGACATCACAGACTATCACATAAGCACCATCTTTAATAGGTTTGAAGACATGCCTCTTACATTGGGCTAAATTTACCGATAAATCCACCATATCTAACCTTGCCTACTTTGAACCTAGCCTTGGGGACTTCTTTAGAAAGAAGGCATATTTTCACTGAACCAAAGTAAATCTTAATTACATATTTGCTTACCATGGAGAGCCTTTTTGCTTCTGAATGGGAATCTGTAACCGATAAAAGGTAGAAAGTGGGTTGATTTGGTATGTTTTTACAGAAATCTATCAGAAGTTGTATTTGAAAAGGGGAAAAAAAGATATTCTCAAAGTTTTAGATAATTGTGAAGTTAGTAGAGTTGGTTATTTAGTGTTCTTTATGTAGCATTTCAGGGGAATGACTTAGAATATTCTCTGATGCTTTCTTAAAACACCAGGTAGGGTCCTACCTCAGCAGACTGATTCAGTAGTTCTTAGATGAGTCTCAGTTTCCTCGTGACTTTTAAAGGTTCATAGATTATTTTAAAAATTACTCCCAAGTCCAAAGAGTTGAGGGTAATTATTCCTTAAAATTTATTTATAGTTTTCCATTAAGGAATTATTCCAGGGAAGTCAACTGGTTTTCCAGGCTCTGCAGTGAGGTGGTAGGCTTCAGTGAGAGGTGCTGTTAATTCATTCACTTCTTCATTTATTTAGTCGTTCATTCAGAAAACATGCACTGAACAGTTTTTATCTGCTAATCAATGAGTTATAGTGCTGAGGATATAAATAGGCATGACTACTATAATCATAGCACCATAAAGTCTATTCCCACTGTGTGGCTGCTATGACAAGTCAGACTGAGTAACTGCCCATGATGCCAACTTCCTAGAGAGATTTGACAGTCAAAGGCCAGTGCTATACATTTCATCTTCCATCTCAAAGGTTAGGAAAAGTACACATGACTGCATAATTATGGGGTAAGTGCCCAAATATTTCTGTTTTGTGCTTTGCTTTTCAAATTATGTTTATGTGAAATATAACCTACATACAGAAAAGACACAATAATATTTGTGCTAAATAATTTTCAAGCAAACACCCATTAACTCCACTTAGGTTGATATAGAATGTTACAAGCTCCATAAAAAAACCCTTCACCAAAGTGTCCCTTTAAATCAAAACCCCTTTCTTCCTCAGAAGTAGCCACTCTTCTGACTTCTGAACTTTATTTGAATACAGTTATACTGTATGGTTTCTTTGGCATCTTGACACTCGCACTTAACATTGTATTTTTAAGATTAATCCATGCTGTCGCATGTAGTTCTAGTTTGCTTATTTTCATTGCTATATAATATTCCATTGTATGAACTTGCTGCAATTTATCTAGCCATTCTCTTGATGGGCATTTGGGGTGCTTCTAGCTTTTGGCTACTACAAATGTTGCTGCTTACAGTGGAATTGTTGGACTATAGGGCATGTTTACAGTCAACTTTCACACATACTGCCAAACGATATTTCATACTGGATAAATCAAATTTACACTCTGATGAGCAGCTTGAGAATTCCTATTGCTTCACATGCTTGCCAACATTAATGTTGTTGAAGTTTAGAACTCTTAACCAATCTGAAGACTGCAAGTTGTTCTCCTATAGCACCTTTCTGAGGTTGTTTAGCTTTGTCATTCATATGTAACTATTTATTCCATTGGGAATGTATTTTTGACTATGATGCAAGAGCGAGCCTAATTCTGTTTTTGTTTGTTTGTTTGTGTGTGTGTGTGTTTTTTCTTTGAGACGGAGTCTTGCTCTCTCTCCCAGTCTGGAGTGCAGTGGCGCCATCTCAGCTTACTGCAAGCTCCGCCTCCCGGGTTCTCGCCATTCTGCCTCAGCCTCCCGAGTAACTGGGAGTACAGGCGCCCGCCACCATGCCCGGCTCATTTTTTGTATTTTTTAGTAGAGACAGGGCTTCACCGTGTTAGCCAGGATGGTCTTGATCTCCTGACCTCATGATCCACCCGCCTGGGCCTCCCAAAGTGCTAGGATTACAGGCGTGAGCCACTGTGCCCAGCCCTGTTTTTTATACAGATGCTCAATTTCCGGTTTTTCCATTGATTGAAAGGCCTTTATTTCTCCACTGATATACTGTGTCACATCTGTCATACAGCAAGTGTCAATACTCCCACATACACATTTCTTCATTTCGCCTCTCTTTTTCTATCTCTATGTCAATTCACGCTGTCTTGGTTAGAATAGCTTTAAGTCTGGTATCTAGAATTTCAGAGCTGCTACCTTGTTTTCCTTCTTCAACAACATCTTAGCTACTCTTATTACTTTATATTTCCATACATATTTCAGAATTAGCTGTCAAGTACTTTAAAAATCCTTTTGGGATTTAATTCATATTACATTGAATTTATAAAACAGTTTGAGGAGAATTGACCCAAATTTAGTATTTCCATCCTTCAATTTATATATTTCTCCATTTTTAGGTCTTTTTAATATTGCTCAGTAAAGTTTTATAACTTTCTTCATATATTTTGCACATCTTTTGTTAAATTTATTACTAGTTTCTTAGTGTCTGGATGCTATTTGAAATAGTATATATCTATTTTTATTGAGGTATAATTTACATAAAAATTATTTTTAAATATATGATTTTAACTAACAAATATAGTCAGAGCTGTCACCATCAAGATAAAAAAAAAAGTATTTCTGTTGCTTCCTAAAATTGACCTGTGATACTTTGTGATATCATTTCCACTCCTAGTCTCTAGTTGATCTAAATTCTGTCCCCAACATTTTGTCTTTTCCAAAATATCATATAAATGGTATACAGAATGTAGTTTTTTGTGTGTTTGGCTTTTAAAATTAACATAATGCTTTTTAAATTCACCATACTGTTGTATATATCACAATTCATTTCTTATTATTGCTAAATAGTATTCCATTGTATAAAGGTACCACAATTTATTTATCCATTCCTCAGGTGATAGACATCTGGATTGTTTCCATATTTCAGTGATTAAAAATACAGCTGCTATAAACATTTGCAAATGGTCCTCTCTGTGAACATAAGATTTCAGTTCTCTTGTGTAAACCTAAGGGTTGACTTATGGGGTCATATATTAAGGTGATGCTTAACCACCTTACAAACTGCCGAACTGTTTTCCAAAGAAACTATAGCTATTTGCTTGTTCAACAGCAACATAGGAGAGTTCCAGTTGCTCTGCATCTTTGACTTGGCATTGTCGGTTTGCTTAATTTTGGTCATTTTAGTAAGTATGTAAATCTCATTTATTCTTTTAGTGTTCAATTCTCTTATGATTAATAGTGTTGAGCATGTTTTTATGTGCTTACGCATACCTCTTTTTGGTGAAGTGTCTACTCAAATCTTTTGCTTCTTTTGATTGGGTTGTTTATTGTTATATTATATAATTGTGAGAGTTCTTTATGTAATCTAGATACCAGACCTCACAAATAGGTGTTTTGCAAATATTTTCTCCTAGTTTTTACCTTGTATTTTAATTTTCTTAACAATGTATTGTGAACAGCAGATTTTTATTTTGATGAAGAGTAATCTTTTGTGGTTTTTTTATTGTTGTGTGGGTATGTGTGTGCCCTATTTATGAAACCAATACTTCTCACAAGATCATAAAGATTTTCTTCTATGTTTTCTTCTAGAAATTTCACATGATTAGGTTTTACATTTAAGTCTACTTCAAATTAAGTTTTGTATATGGTGTGGAGTACAGACTGGTTCATTTTTGCATGTGGATGTGTATTAGTACGTTTTCATGCTGCTGATAAAGATATACCCAAGACTGGGCAATTTACAAAAGAAAGAGGTTTAATGGACTCATTCATAGTTCCATGTGGCTGGGGTGGCCTCACAATCATGGTGGAAGGTGAAAGTCATGTCTCACATGGCAGCAGACAAGAGAAGAGAACTTGTGCAGGGAAACTCCTTTTATAAAATCACTAGATATCAAGAGACTTATTCACCCTCATGAGATTAGCATGCGAAAGACCTGCCCCCATGATTGAATTACCTCTAACTGGGCCCCTCCCACAATATGTGGGAACGGTGGGAGCTACAATTCAAGATGAGATTTGGGTGGCAACACAGCCAAACCATATCAGGATGTCCAAGAGTTCCTGCAAGATTCGTTGACAAAACTATTCTTTGTTCATTGAATTATCTTGACACTTTTTCAAAAATCAATTGAGCATCTGTATGTAGATTTATTTCTGTACCTTATCCTTTTCTGTTGAATTATGTTATTCTTCCTCTAGTGCTACACTGTCTAGGCCACAGAAATTTTAAGTCTTTAACTCAGGTAGTATGAGTCCTCCAAACCTTTCTCTTTCTCTCAAAGTTGTTTTATTCTATTCTATTCTATTCTATTCCTTTATATTTCCATATAAAAGTGAGAATTATCTTGTCAATGTATATAAGAAGCCTGCTGTGATTTTAATTGGGATTGCATTGAATTGCTAGATTAAAATGAAAATAATGAATGTTTTTAAAATATTGACTCTCCAAATACATGAACATGGTTTATGTCTCCACTTATTTATCTTTTCCTTGATTTATCCAAATTTTTTAGTTTTCAGCATATAAGTGATGTACATATTTGGTTGGATTCATCCCTTAATATTTTTATGATTTGAAGCCATTGTAAAAGGTATTATTTCTTTCAACTTCAGTTACTCATGTCTAGAATGCAGATATTCAGCTAATGCATGTGTATTGGTCTTGTATACTGTGACCTTGCTAAATCTACTCACTTTTTTTGAATTTTTAAAAATTTTCTTGGGGATATTTATCTTAGATAATCATGTTACATGCCTATAAAGATAGTTGTATTTATTCCTCTCTGGTCTGTATGCCTTTTATTTCTTTTTTTGGATTCTATTACCAATGGTATATACTTTAAAATATCATTTTTATTAATTGCTACTTGTATAGAGAAATTTTTGTAAATCTATATTTATTTACCTTGCTAAGCTCTTTTATTCTAATAATTTGTCTGTAAATGTTTAGCTGCTTTACACAGACAATTATGTTATCTGCAAATAATAATGATTGCACTCTTCCCTTTCTAGAACTTATTTTATTTATTCTTGCCTTGCTCATGGGCTAAGAACCCCAGTATAATGTTAAATATAATAGTAATAAAATGCAAACTTGTTTTGCTTTTTATCTTAAAAGAAAATCTTTAAAATATTTACCATTAAGTAGGATGTTCATTTTAGATTTTTTTGTAAAACTCTTTTAACAATTTAAGAACATTTCCTTTGGCTCCTAATTATTTGCCGAGAGCTTGGAACAAAGATTTTCCAATATTTCAAAAAGGATGTTATAAAAATATTGCCAATAAATTTATCATTATATAAATTTGACAAATTGGTAGTCATGAACTTAATAAAATTGACACACAAAAATAGATAATCTGAACAGTTCTATATAATCTTCTAATGATTATATATGTATAATTTAAAACCTTCTCAATTAGAAAACTCCAAACTCTGATGGCATCACTGGTGAAATCCACCAAATATGTGAACAAAGAATAATATCGATATTATGCAAATTTTTCAAGAGAACAATGAAAGAATACTCCCAACTGGTTTCATGAAGCCAACAAAACTTGACACCAAAGCCTGACTAAAACATTAGAGGAGAGGAAAAGTGTAACCAATCACAAATGTGAAAATGGATGCAAAATTTCTACATAGAATATTAGCAATCTAATTCAGCAATATATAAAATGATAATGCATTTGTTGGGGGGCAATTCTCAGTGAGTCTCTTCCATTTATGCATGTCTTATGAATAGAAGTACTGACTGACATTTTTTCCAGGCTATCTTGGCAAGAGAAAAATTTTGAACATAGAATTGGTATCTCCTCCTGATACCAATTTTGCTGCTGAGCAAAGGCAAACATGCAGGACAAGTGTGGTTCTGACCATTATAAAAGATTTAAATTCCTTACGATCAAGGTTTCTCTCCTGTAATGTAGCGATATAAATGATATTACAATAGGCAATAGGATCAAGTAGGTCCCAAGATTCAAAATGGATTGCTCCCACTCTTAGTATATGTGCATTTCTGCCACAATAGTAACTACCTCCAACACACCTAGACTCCTGGGAGTTTTCTATGACTAGACCACGTGTGAAGGGTTGCGGCCAACAGGTTTGGGGAAGACCTCTCAGAATAAGCTTAAAGTATGAGCATATATACATCCCATGAAAATTCTCACCAGAAGGCCTCTAGTACAGTGGTTCTTCATAACCAGATAGATAAAAGATGGTATGCCCTAGGAGTATGAATTAAAGCACCAGGAAATAAAGGAAAGTTTATTCATGGATCCACCAACATGGATTAATTCTTATGTTCTGTACTCTAAAGACTTTGTTGATGGAACTATGTAAAGGCCCAGTCCCTGTGTCCCCATTTCAAGACAAAATTGCAGGGCCATTCCAGATTTAGAACTCCCTATAGGGGCTGGCCAAGGACTTTGCATGATTGTTTCACAACTTCCTTCCAGTTCTCATCCTTTCACCCATCCAGAGCTGATGGTTCCTAGAGCACCCTTCAATGAACATCCTACACACAAACCTATCTCCAAGTCTACTTTTCAAGGAATCTAATTTATGACACAGGTTAGACACAAGCTGGATTTGAGTTTTATTTCTCTATCTGTCATGCTATATATAACTCTACAATCTGTGGTGTTTCTGAAAACTTCATCGTGGAATCTTATGCAATATTGCTCCTGAACAAGGAGCAGACTTTTGGTAAAATAAGATGTACAATGGGCTAAATTTCATGGGATTCACTAACTTTATCATCTATCTTATTGCAAAGTAAGCCGCTTAGAATAACAATGTATGCTCCAAACCAGAAACAACAAATAATATTGTTTCTTTTATAGCCATATCCCAAGCATCTGGAAACCAAGCAGTTGACATAAGAGTGAAAAAATGAACAGAACTATCATGCCAAAATATTTTTGTAATGCGTACCTTCTCTGCTCAAATATTTCAGAGCCACTTTCCAAATTTACTTGCTTGTTCAAGTAATAACCCATTAATAACTTTTTACTCCATCTTTTTAACTTTTGGTTCTATTGGTTTGAAGGTTTTGTACCTGTGAGATTTGTGCTTCCAAGATGGAGCAATGCCAACTTAATGATAAATTGAGACTGCAGTTTGGGGGTCTTTGTGCCAAAAGGTAAATGGCAAAAATTAATATTTACAATATTGGCTGGGGGATAATCCTGATTATCCAGAAAAACATTTTGTAACTGTCATACAATAGGAGGTGTTTCAATGGAACCAGCAGATATCTCAAATGCCTCTTGATATTACTGCATCCAGTAATAAAAATTAAAAATTGCTACAACTCTAAATGAACAGCAATATCATGCCACAATATCTTTGTAAGTCATACTTTCTCTGCTCCAATAATTCAGGGCAACTTTCAAAATTTACTTCTTTCCTCACAATGATACATATTTCTAAGTGAATTCCAACATGCCACCTTCTCTCTTTCGTTTTTTTTCATAAATTTACCACAACTTGACCTTTCTAACTTCCTCTCATACACCTTTATCTGGTAATTAGAGTGTACATTAGTATAACAGAGTGTCTTTAAATGGTAAATATGTCAGCAACTGAATATAAGCAACTAAAATCTTCATTTTTTTTTCCTAGTGGTAAAGATTTGCTCAATATTTGCTGAAACGTGGATATTAGATAACTGTCTCAAGCCCAATAATCATCAGCAACAGAGGAGATTATCCCTATGCTAATCATTCTATTCCCAGCCAAATGGTTTCTTAATTTACCTGATGGCCAGGATTCTGATTGTGATCTCCTAACATATGCTTGAATTCAGTGAAATGCTAATCACTGTTACACATTAGATAGTTAATTTACTAAGCATGCTGTTATAAAAATCCCCATTCTAAAATTCTATTTTCATATTGGTAGGCCATAGGTTCAAGGTCTGATATTGGTAGTAGATATTCTCAATTTAAACCAAATTGACAAACTAAATGTTGATAAATTTCCAGGACCAAGTGACCTCCACCTAACAACTTCTGGGGGAAGAAAACTCACAGTGAAATTACCCAAGTTATGGCTAAATCTATAATCTGTTGTTCTAAAATCTCTGGTCCAGAGGTCAGTCAGATTGCTAATGTAACTCACACTTTTCCATGCATTCCAGAATCACTTACTTGTTAGAACTAACAATCAGTTTTATTAATGGGACTATTTATGAAGTAAATACATAAAAACCAAGCAGTCTTCTATTTATATTATCAATAAGCACTTATTTTATTTAATGAGGGAAAATTATCAACAATAGCAACCTCCTAAAAATAAAACAAACAAACAAACCTAATGATCTAGGGGATTAATAGTAAAACTGTGAAGTTATAGTAATAAAGTTCTAGAAATTCCCTAGAAAATAAATATCATAGTTCAGAAGAGAAAACAATATTCTTAGAAATCAGTTATAAAATTAATATATAAATATAGTCCAATTTCTAACAAAACAGTGATAATTTTTATTAACTTGCTAGAATAATTCTTTTAAAATGACAACATTACTGAATTGTATTTTACATATCATAAAAATCACTCCTTTCCAGTGCAATAAAATAAATTTTGGTAACCTTACTGCATGGTCTAGCCAAAATCCTAAATTAGTTTTAGAGCATTTCATCCCTACAAATAAGATCCCTTATTGCCATTTACAGTTATTTCCAGTTTCCATCGCTAGTCTCGTGTAACAACTAATCGACTTTCTGTCTCTATAAATTTGCCTTTTCCAGGCATTTCATATAACTCAAATCATATATTATTAGATCTCTCGTGTCTAGCTCTTTCAATGAATGTAATGTTTTAGAGGCTCATCGATGGTGTAGCTGTGTCAGTAGTTTGTTCCTTTTTATTGCTTACTAGTATTCCATTGTATGGATATAATTGCCAAAATAACTGTGAGGATAACAATGTAATAAATATGTTTAAAAAGCCAAAATATTTTGAAATTGTAAAAGACAGGAAAATCTCATCCAAGTGACAATACGAAGTATGATAAAATAAATTATGTGATATTGTTGCAGGAAATGCCAGACATATCAATTGAGAAAATTATAATATTTACACCTAGAGTCATTTATAAGAACTTAATATATGATTTGAAATGGTACCTCAAATTGATTACTCAATTAGTGGTGTTTAGACAACTAGCCAAACACAAAAATAATCTTAAATCCATACTACACACCTGATACCCTACAATGAAATTAACTCCAAGTGTTTAAAGATTCAAACATAAAAAGTGAAACCATAAACATACTAGGTGAATATTTATACAGTCCTTAATGCCATAAAGAAAAATGCTTAATACTTCAAATTTTTGAAATGTATGCACGACTGAAATTATTATAAATTGCAAATGACAAAAAGAGGAAATATTTACAGAATATAAATGTCTAACAAGTGGCTCATATTTCAACACATAACATTAAAAGCGTGCTTGCCACACACTAAGAGAAATTCAGCCCCAAAACAAAAATATATCAAATAACCATATAAGTAAACGACCACGGAATGACAGAGTCAATAGAAGTAAATCCAATCTTACCATAAAAATACAAAGTAGCACCCTAAAGAAGTATGTATGAAATAAAATTTGATATTTAAAAGGATTTTTAATGCTAATCTCTAGCATTAGCCATGGTGAGGGACAATAACCCCTCTCATATTCTTCTGTTGATCATGTACATTAAGTATAACCTCTATGGAAGACAATCAGGAAAAACATCACAGAAGTCACAAAAACATAGTGCATATTCTGACTCAACAATTGACTTCTAGGATTCTAAGGGCAGTCATGGATACTTGTTTATAATAGTAAAATCTAAAAGCACTAAAATTTTATCTAACAGTAAAGGATTATTCAATGAATTATAATAAATTCCTACAATTGAATTATCTTTTGCCAATAAAATGTTGAGACATATTTATAGGAATGACATGAAAAGAAATATTGGTAAGAAATATTGTTTTAAAATGCAGATTTTATAATAGTTTTGGCTATGTGATCCTGTATTTCAAAAAAAGCAATATACATTTTCAAAATATAGAAAAGAGAGAGACTGATTCAGTGGTGGCCATGATCATCATAATTCCTACTGATGGAAAGATAATGAGTATATTTAGAATGAACTTAAAATACAAAATTATTTGGCTCATCTGTATTTTCCAAATTATTTACAATTAACATGTATTACTTTTGTCAGTAATGTTATTTATAATACAAGATTGTTTAAAGGAATATTAACTGTCTTGGAAAAGTGAGTGAAAACATAATAATAAGCTTAATGAGAACTGGATTAGAAGTCTAAGCAAAGCATTCCACTAGGTAACACATAGAATTTCAACATGTACATAAAAAAGGGGAAATTTATTCAAATTTTCAAAAAGATGTACAGAATTGTACATCAGTTATCCTGCATTCATTTCTTTTTGCTTATTTCTGTACCTGCCTTCTACCTTTCTTATATTTTTACTATAAGAGCATTCCTCTTTGTCATTTCTTTATCTTATTTATGCATGATGGTGGACTCAACTCTTCTGAACGAAACAAGCAGAAAGAAAACCTTCCCTCAACCCTAATTTCCCCCAGATTACCCTTCCCTTTCTTGTCCTTTTCATCAACCTCTTGGAAGAACATGTCATATATTCTGCTCACTTCCATAGGTTGTGTTCATTCTCACTCCACTGCAGTCTGGCTTTAGTCCCAAATATTCTGATGCAACTTTTGTCACTAAGTGTACAAATACTCTTCCAAATGCCAAATACATTAAACAAGCTCTTTATAGGCCTTTAGGGTAGACACTTTGTCTTACTCATTTCAGATTCACCTTAAGCCCCAAATACAGTATTTTCCTTCTTGTTAAATCCACTTCTGGTACTTAGAACGGTGCCTGGTTCTAATACCAGAGACACAAATCAGTAACAGAATAGGAAACAGAAAGCATTCTTGTTCCCAGGTAGTTTCTATCGCACAATCACATTTATTTTGCTGTATGGTAGTTGCTTTTACCTATCACTCCTGTGGTTGCAAGGATAAAATAAGATATTGTATACAAAGAGCCTGGCACACAGATTCTAATTCACACTCAGAGCTCAATAAATGGTAGCTAATATTTAAATTCTGTATGTTCAGTAGATGTTATTTTCCAGGGTGAATTTCCTTCTCAGAAATTGAAAGTATGCATTTGCATTTCAAAAATATGCTTTGCATTTGGAATCACACTTTGCTGCCACCTTCATGACTGACCCTTCCTCATCTCTGTTTTAAGTCCTATTTATTCAAGGCTTTCCTATAGTTCAGCAGTGTTAGGGACTGAAGCTATAAAGATAAATAATAATAATCCTGGTCCTCAAGAAGCTCACTGTCTTGTTGATGGTATAAGTAGAGATATAATACAGCATAAGGTATGATTACAAGGTTATTCATCTTAAAACATGAGCTGATGCTTTGGCTTTTAAAATCAAATGAACCCACAAGCACATCCACAGAGAAGCCACGGTGTCTACCTAAATAGATATAGGCATAATATGAGCTAAAGATTGTTCTTAGCCCAGCATCCTCAAATACTACTTGGAGGAATCCAAAGTATAAACAAATATACTTCTCAAATATTTGAGAAATATTTGAGTAGTACTTCAAATGTACTTCTCAATATATTTGTCACTTAATTGAACAAAAGAAATTTTTATTCAGAACATTGGGTCACCAGTAATAACAAGAGATAATTTAATTCTAAATTGCAATTCAGAAGGTATACACAAAATGACTATGAAAATCACAAAATACCAATGAGGACATCTGTGGGATTTGAGATATTGGTTTCTTCTCCTATTGGTTGTAGAGAAGAATTGGGAGTGGGATTCTGTGTGCCATGCCTGCATTCAGAGAAGGACGTAATGGCTTATTAACATCTACAATTAAAGTTTATTGTTGAGAACTGAATAGTTTAAGAAAACTGAGATTTTACCCAACTTACTAGGCTCAATACAGTTTATTCTAAAAGCATAAAAAAATTATTTCTGTCATCCTCATTACTGTTTTGTATCTGGTCAGAGAAATCTCAGTGACTCTCTGGGCCTCAGGCTGAAAATAAGTGTTTCTTCATACTCTGACCGCCAGATTCCAAGTAGACAGGCAAGGTCATTATTTGGCACATGAAATACTTTGTCAACCTGTGTATGTGTGAAAGTGTATGTGAATATGTATGTGTGAGCACAGGCAAATGTGCCCTAAGGAGGTCTCAAGGATAGAGGCTCAATCTTGTTTCTCCTTTCATCCTCACAATATTTCTCATAGCAGACACTTAGTAAAAGTGAATCAATGAATCAACAAATGAACGGACGAAACATACAACTGGAGTATGTGGTGAATAAGATATATTGTTCCATCACCCTGATATTAAAATAACCATAAAGTAATTAAACTACATGTAGGTTTATCAGTAAAATCCATAGGCCAAAATAAAAAAAAAAGTCTGAAATATCTATATTGCCTCCAGAAGTTTCTTCCAGCTTAAAAAACTGGTTAAACCAAGTCCTTGTCTTTCATACAGTAGGTTACAATCTTGGGATCTTGGGATGACTCTCAATCTACTTTAAATATGAGTGTCATCATTGCTTTCCACAAGTACAATATTTAAAATAAGCAAGCATTTTTGTTGAATAGATTTTATTTTTTATTATAGTATCCTTTCCACATTTTTGAACCTTTCTCTCTGTTCCATATTCCTAACTCTGCAGAGATGGGCACAAACATTTACAAATAGATAAAAATAAATTTTAAAAAATTATTTGCAGTCATCGGCATAAATTAAAGTATTTTAAAAACAATTCATTGAGCACTCAGCTTCACAATGTCTACTGAAGTTAGTCTCAACTTCATCATCACTGACGTAGAAGAGCACATTCTAGAAACAAGGGCTGAGAGAAAGGAGGAGAAGGAAGACTGTGAACAAGAAAAAAGTGGAAATGCCTGGAACATTATTCAGTGTGCATCTGCGCAGAATGGCTAAATTATATGCATGAAAACACGTGTGGCTCATTGGATCATTAACAAGGAAACATACCTCATTCTTCGTCTATGTAGTGGCTCTTTAAAATTCCAGCCATAAACAATATGGAAGAGCCTCTGTGTATCTTTCAGTGATTATTATCACAAATGATGACACTCTTAAAAACTCAGCTATCGCTGGGGATTTACGAGATTTATTTGAGAAGCATGAGCAGAGGGGTAGCAGGTTTACGATTACTCCAAATCCAGTGAGTTTAAGTTTATTAAGTTCTGTACACTCTATCTACAAAGGTAGCTTGCAGCACTGTTTCTGACCTTCTGAAGACTACAGCTGTTGCAAAGCTCCCATGACATGTCATTGTCTTCTGTTATCATTCTTGCTCTACAGCCTGTGTCCCTGTATTAGAAACAAGCTCCTCAGCTTGCCAGCTCAGCCTTCAAAAGAGGCGTTGTTGCTTTAGTACCACATTTGAACCAAAGTGAGAGAGAGCAAAACAAACCCTTATACATGAATGTTCTGGCTTAGATACAAGATACCAGCTCAAATAAAATGTCACTGCAGATAGCACAAATTATTGTAAACAATACTGCCTCCACGCCTGGTGTAAAACATCCACAGATAAGACTATCAAATGCTTCTTTGGGGCATGCTTTTGTCTCCTTCATCTTTAAGCTCAGAGCTCAATCCAATTATCCACCAATTTCTGTTCTGTTTGTGATTTATGTGAACCAGGGTTGGAGGATTGTTATTTTAAAAATATTTTTGGTATGACAAGTTGAAATTTTTAGCTCATAAGCTAAGATTGCCTCAAAAAAATATGTTAAATAAAATAAATAAGATATGAATGCAAGGACTCTGGGCATACAAGGAAGTTAAAATATAATTTTTCATAAGGAATTGACATTTTTCATAAGATTCTTTACATTTTCTCTCTCATCATTTATTTTGAGAATATCCAATTTGTGCATTTTTCATCAACTTATACTGTTAAGTGTAAAGTATTTCCCCAGAAAAAGGATTCCTGAAAGATTCTTGAAATTGCCTTCTGTAGTTTCCTTCCTCACTGTAGCTAACTATAAAATTCTACACTGTGTAACTAAAATGCTAGATTCTTTCCATAATTCATATTGATTTTTGCATAAAATGCCTATTCTGAGCTCAGAACTACATAATCAAACACAACCATCAGTTTCTGATGCTAAACAAAATTATTCCTTTGGGGGGATTTACTCACACCTTCTCCAGAGATAAAGGAGAAAATAATCATCTAACTTCCTGAAACGTTACAGTTTTATATTAGATAAAATAGACACCTCTATCTAGAGTCAATTTCCATGTCAGGTAAATCAAATAGTCATAGCTCCCCAGTAAAGAACTAAATTTCATCTGTAAGTCAAATCTGTAGACAGTTACTGAGGCTTTTAAGCCTTCAAACACTCGGAAAAGGAGGTGGTCATGAAGGCGCTTATAAAAAGGGATATTTTTACAGGGAATTTTTATCTAGTATCAGCCAGGTGCTTTCCCCTTCATGTTTGTCCCTCTCCTAAACAAATCAAGGCTACCCCAGTAATCTTCAGAAGAATTTCTGTTCTTGAAGGTGTAATCCTAAAATCTATCACTTCTTTCCTTTCACATCTAAAGTTGTTTGGGTAGCAACACCAGCACCAGCTTTCCTCCTCTTCTTGGTACCTAGCAAAGGGCTCAAATACTTGCTGCTGTTCCCTTTTCTTGAAAAGTTTTATCCCCATACATTTAACGGGGGCTGTGTCACAATATGCAGGTATGAGCTCAAATGTCTCCCTTTCAAAGATGCATTCTCTGACCACCCAAACCAGTGACTTCATGCTTTATCCCTTTATTTTACTGACTTTGTAATATTTATCCTGATCTGAAATGAATTTGCCTATTTATTTTCTTGGTTACTATCTGTCCTCCCAATTCCCATGGAATAGAAATTCTATGAGAATCGAGCTTTTTACCTGCCTTCTGTTGTATTCCAGAGCGCAGTCACTGCACAGTGTATATTTAACACCAGAGACAGAGCAGATTCCACTGTGACTGAGGGAAAAATATCATATCCTTAAAATCAGAAGTCTCCTTCTCCCTCGGCTCTCGGCTTCCTCCCCTATCAGGAATTTTTGTCTATTTTATTAGCTGAATTACCCGAATATCCTCAAAACACCTGACTTTGATTTAGTTCCATGAAATGAATACTGGGTCCCAGCTATGCATTCCATCACTTTTTTACCAAATAGATATTCCCAGATTTTCTAAGGCATTTTCCTTCCTTTCAAGAAGCACACAGTGCCTGCAAGGTTACTAAACATCAACACAAGCATCACTGCTGAGGACTTCCAAATATGGCATCAAAACAGCCACAGAGACTTGTCTAAATAATATCATATCTCCCAGCAGCTGGATTTTAGTTTGTTAACTTTAAAATGCAAGGCAGGCTTAAAGATTAACAATTTGCTTGGATAAAGGAAAAGGGAAAAAATATAATTAATCATTTGCCTGTCCCCAACACTAGTTTACAAAACCATGGTGCAACTTTATTGAGCTCAAAATTGAAGGGTGGCAAGGTTAATATGTAGCTTTAGACCTCACAGTTTCATTAACAAACACATTACAGGCTGTAAAGCTGAACTGACATTAATGCTAGGCCCAAACAAAGTAAATAATTACTGGCTTGGCAAATGAGGAAGTACTTGCAGAGTTTGTTTACACTGGGTTTTTGGAAAATTCATGTTGGCAACAAGTCAAATACAGTTTGACTAGTAATTGTGACAATTGCTCACAGATGCTGCTGGAAGAACAACAAAAGAAAGGAATTATGGCTTTTCTCTCCCCCTGCATTTTCCCCCTTTGTTACCATTTTTTTTTCTTTACCATTTTGGATCAATAAAGAACTTGCAGCCACAAAGATAAGTGGGTTACATGGCAGATGGGCCTTGGAATGTTTAAAAATCTCATGTTGCATTTTGTCTCTTGGCCCTAGATTGGAAAAGACACAGCTGCACTCAAGCTGCAGTCATAAAATCCACACTCCTTGAAAATGCCTATGGGTCCTCTCAATAGAACAGAGTTGAGATGAAGCCCGCTTAGAAATGTTCCAACAGACAAACTGGTTTGCTTTGTGTTAGTGCACAATTAACAAACCTCTGAGTTTGTAAGACTTCAGGAGAGAATTCTAGCCGAATAGGATCCATCTCATTTTCCCTAGCTGGACTGGAAAGTATAAACAGGAATCAAGGAAAAAGGTAACTCACCAAACTGGAAAATAGTTGTGTAGGGCAACTGATGTCTATTACATATAATTTGAAAGAATTTTGGTTTCCCTCATCAAAGATCAGTATTTTACCAACTAAAAGCTGATACTTCACACACACAGACACACACACACACATATCACAGGCCTTCTAAACACTTGAATCTAAATCTCTTTATTCTTGGAAGATAAAATTTCAACGATTTTGAGTATAAATCCAAAACCTGAATCTCTCTAATACCATTTCTACTAACTTTGAGTGATAAGAGCCAGAATATCCTGAGACTTCATAGTGCTTCATTGAATCACTCAGCATGAGAATCTGAAGCCTTCATTATTATTTAAGTGCCTTATCTAGATCCATAATATTTGTAATATTAAAGCCATATCCATTGTGTGTTTCAGAAGGTTGTTCTATCATTCTCTAAATCACGTTTCTCTTAACACTCCTTTGGGTGATCATTGCACAAAACTGAATAAAAGTAGACCGCTATCCACAACAGAAAGGAATCTATGCCAAAAATAGGACTTCTTTTAACCACTTGAATACTGTGTCCATCTATCAATAAAATACTTGATACACATCTTCCAGGTTTTCAGATTTTTCTTATGTGTAACCTTAAAACCCCAAATATTCCTTAGAGGAGACATTTACTCTGAAACTTATCAGATTTTAGGTGAATAAAATATCCTGACTTTTGACTTTCTCATTGCCTAGACTATTGTGACCATGAAATTTGGAAGCCAAGCATAGGATACCAGGAGAGGTTGGATAGAAGCAAGATTTATCAGAATTAGCCTTGGAATCTCTGACTCAAGTATGGACTATCATCAGCCATTAGCACCAGACAAAATGCAGCCACTGACAATCTTCTGGGATGCCGCTAAGTATACTTGACCTAACAACTACCAGTAAAACTTTCTGACATGTGCTTTGATTCTAGATTATCAACTAAGAATTCAGGGAAACATTCTACTAAATAACATGTCCTATGTAAGTGAGATAATTATAACAGCCTCCTCACTAGGTTATGGGCCCCCAAATTTGTACTTTTCAGATCTTTCTTCTACGTTGCAGTCAGACACAGATTTGATCACGCCACACCATTGCTCAGAATTCTTTGGATGCAACTTACTGCCTATAGGATGAAGACCACACTCAGGCATTTCCTTGAATGCTGACACAATCCTACCCCAACCTACCTCACGATCTTCCTACTGCATGCATGCTCCCTTCAGATCTAATTGGCTTTTTTTCACTAATGCCTGCACTTGACCTAAGTGAAGATTCTGAAGCAGGAGAGAAACTGGTTTTCTAGGCCTATCTTGAGTCTCTTTTATCATTGACCATCTTTCGCTACCACAAAAGAATCATATTCTATTGCACAAGACCTAGTGGGCCTCATTTAAGATTTTGAACATTATTCCAACAAAATTCCTAAAATTTTAAGTTTGTACTTATATCATAAAGCTAGACCTTGCATTTAAAACTCACCTTTAGAAAACTTGCTTTAAAAAAACAAAAACAAGTAATTTTGATGAATTTGGAAATTCTGTGACTTAATCTTATCTGTTATCTGAGTAAGAGTTTAAGCAACAGTGACACTGGAAAATAAAATGATATTTATGTATAAAACAATGATAATACTATAGAATGTCATCTTTCAGGGTAACATTTGTTGAGTTACAGAACTGATTCAT
Source organism: Homo sapiens (assembly GCF_000001405.40). Lineage (NCBI taxonomy): Eukaryota > Metazoa > Chordata > Mammalia > Primates > Hominidae > Homo > Homo sapiens. The sequence continues at coordinate 36,180,397 of NC_000015.10, forward strand.
TGATTGCACTAAAGTTATACCATTGAATAACTTGCATGGAGGGAAACCAGAATTATAACCACGGGTAAAAATTGATATATTAGAGGTGAATTTTGGAAGAAATAAAAATGTAGAAGGCAATTATAAGGGGAGCACTTAAATTAGGTATGAATGGTTTATGCTATTGATTAAAGCATTTTAAAAATCAATAAAAGAACACTTTGTACCAAGTAGCTTTCAGGAACTTTCAGGGAAGACCATTTGATTCAGTTCAAAAGTCAGAAGCCTCTGCCCTAACAGGTAAAAAGCGTGGTTCCATCTCCTTTTTAAAAATAAAGCAAATAACTACAATTTAGAGTCTAAAATCAAGCATTAATGATCTGCTCCAGTCATTTTTTAAAGAAGCAAGCTATATTAAAAATTTTGATACTTAATGTGAAAATTATATTTTTATTTATATTTTACTACATGCTGTTATCTTCTAATAACAATTCATGCCTAATTTATGTGCTCCCCTTCTAACTGCTTTCTATTTTTTTGCTTCTTCCAAAATTCATCCCTAATGTATCCATTTTTACCTGTGGTTGTAATTCTGATGTCCCTTCTTGCAAGCTATTGAACAGTATAAATTTTATTATCATTTTTAAAATTTTTTTATGCGTTGATATTAAATGTTTATATTTGTAAAGTACATGAGATGTTTTGATACAGCATGCCATGTGAAATAAACACATCATGGAGAATGGGGTATCCATCCCCTCAAGCATTTATCAACAGTCTAACTGTCATGCAGTTATAAACTTCTTAGGAGAAGGATCTCTTGTGTTATATAAATTATAAAATTTAATGCCATATCCTTGTACAAGGTAGGCTAACAATGCCTACTTTGAATTGTACTATATTCATTCAAGAAGCTTTTTAAATCTCAGGCTTTCTGACTCTTTGTTCTGCATTTCTCCCCTTTCAACTAAAGAATATATTTTATAGGTGAGCTACAGGTGGTTGTATGTATGCATCTGTCAGTCTTATTCCTAGGAACCCATTCGTGATAGCTCTGCCACATCCATTTGACAATAAACGACTCAAGTTCAAGAACGCTAACTGCTTTCTTGTCAACTTCTCTGAAAGTATGTTTAAAACACATTTTCCTGACTCATACATTTAGCTTAGCCAGGTCACCACCAGGCCCGGCCTTGAAAGCAGCAGATGTTGACGGGTTAATAAAAAAAAGAGTATCATGAGAAGTGGTGACCAAAGCCCTCTGCTCAAAATCTATCCTAAAAACTATGGCTGACATACTTGTGAAGTATATTAAATGAGAACCTTTCTTGCTATCTAATTTGGGCTGAAATTCCAGAGCCAAGAACTCTAAGTACCCTCACATTCTAAAATGAGTTGCAGAGTCCTTGCAGGCATTCACAGAAGGAGACTCCAAACAGCCTTGGTGACTCCTAGGTATCACCTACCCTAGGAAAAACCTACACTGCCAGAGTTTGGTGCAGCAGGACAATGGGTGGTTCCTTTGGAAAGGGTGACCTCAAAGAAGACTTTGGTTCTCTTGGACTTTGCATGAAAGTAACAGCCACAGGACAATGTGAATCCAACAAATAACATCTGTGGAAGTGGACTTCCAGAATTCAGGCATCAAGTCATAAGCAACTGGCCAAAAGAGGCAGCACCTATGTTGGAAAAAGTCAGTGAGAAGTCTCAGGAAATGTGTAACAGTGTGTGCATGTGTGTGTGAGTCTCCAAAAACTTCCCCAAAGATTCAGGGAAGAAGGCAATGATTTGAATATTCAATAAAACCCAAAGGTCACTTCTGTCTCATAAATCTCTCTCTGAACCTGTTTCCAACTTTGGAGAAGCCAGTGGCCCAGGATGTTGGAAAAAAAAAAGTGTGGAAAAGTGAGTGGGGACATTGGTAAAAGTTGAACTGTGTCTTCCCTAAGATAGGGAAGCAAAGAAATCAGAAATGTTCATTCGAATGAGAGTTTGGGTGTGGAATATTAAACAGAACTACTCTTTCTATTAACTAAAATATGTTACTGTTTATTCATACCTGAGAGTGACTGGAAAAGCTAGAGGACCTGCAAGAGATAACTCATGGGTAGAGAAAAATGAACAAGCAGCTCCAAATGATATTGAAAAAAGAAATAAAGCACTTTTGGAATTTTGTCTCTAATACACCAGTTTGTTCCATAAATTTGTTGTATTTATTTCTTAGTTTTGTCTAATGCTTGGAAGGCACTGTTAAAAAAAAATTATCTATGCTGAGCCATCATACCTGAACTATCAGAACTCCTTCAGTTGCAAAACAAAACAAAAAACAACTCAAACTAGATTTAAAAATAGACAAATGTCTTGGTCCACATAACTTATATGGCTTCGTGCACAATTGAATCCAGTGGCTAAAGTAAACCATTAGGATTTTCTTACTCTGTTTGTCATCTCTGTTGGCTCTCTTTATGTCTCCTACAGATGCTTTCCTCTCTGTGATTTTGCATCTGTTATTCCTCAGCAACAAATATAAACTATTAGAGAACTTTCTTGGATCATGTGCCTATCACTAATGCAATCACTGGAAACAAGAGAAGGGGGTCTCTGATTGGCCACCTGGTCCTATGCCCACCTCTATGATGATGGTGGCACTGGTGGCACCATGACTGATGTTCTCACCAAACCCACATGGAGTTGTGGAAAAGTGGATGGCTGGAACTCAAAAGAAAAGTGAATTGCTGTAACCAGAGAGGAAGGTAGGCAAAAACAACAGATATTCCCTACAATTACCTAAGCTTGTTGTACATTACAGTGCATAGCTAGCCAGCTGGGAGTCTAGGATTAAGCTTGGATTTCTGCCCTCAATGAGTAAAAATATCTGGGTAGAAAACAGAAGATTGCAGCAAAATTTCCCAGATTATGTTCTATGATGTTTTAAGAATAGATTCACAATTTCTTTTACACTCTTCCCTTCCAACAGAGGACCATTATTCTGTCCTCTTGAGGGTGGGCTGGACCTCATGACTCACTTTTGATAAACAGAATGTTGTCAGCATGATACTATTTGACTTCTGAGGCTAAGTCATTAAAAAAAGGATAGTTTCTGCTTGTCTCTCTCCTATCACTTGCTTTGAGAGAAGCCGGTTATCATGTCATGACGACTCAAGCATCTTGTGGCCAGATCCACATGTAAATCTTTCTAAACTGAAATCTTTTGCCAAAAGTCAGCATCAACTTGCCAGTTACCTTGGAAGTCACCTTGGAAGCTGCTCCTCCTGCCCCAATCGAGGTTTCAGATGACTACAGTCATGGTGAGCATCATGGCTGAACCTTATGAGAGAGCCCATGCTAAAATTATCCAGTAAAACTGCTTCTAAATTCTTGATCCATAGAAACTGTAAGAATAGTAAATACTGATTGTCATTTTAAATCACTACGTTTTAGGGTCATCTGTTGTGCAGTAATAGTTAAATAATACATGGGTATCCCCCAAGATGATAACAGATGCTCTATGAAACAAGTCAGGTAAGTGTGGTTAAGCATGTTTTAGCAGCTATCTTTATCATGGGACTTCTCAGAACCTTAAAAGGTAATATAATTGTCAGTTTCCAGAGGGAGAGAAAGAGAGAGACACAGAGAAAGAGAGACAGATGTAATATGCAATTTCTTAAACTTCTTTGACAAAAAAATGCCTTTATTTTTCATGGAAAACCTATTAATATCTCTGAAATTCTAGTGTTTCTAGGACATTTGAAAAACTCTAGACTAGATACATGTACTGGAGAAGATTACCCGGGACATTTTTGCTTCTTAAAGAGCAACATCATATCTTAGGTAAAAATCCGAATAACAGATTAACAGGTCCAGGATTAGGATGACACAAGTGAGGTACTCATCTCAGTAACCACATTTAAAGAAATGACAAAAAGCTCAGTAGTCAAAATAAAAATACTGTATTGCAACATTTTTTTAAAACCAAAATTTATGTATGAAAATCCATGATGAACAAAATATCAAAATTTTAAATAAAGGCTAATTTAAAATCAGTCAAATGTTATTTCATTGGTTTGTCTTATGATCCTGCATTAGTATGCAATGAAAACAGTTATTTCTGATCAGTCCTGATTCCTTGTCCACATCGTGATCACATTCCCCTCCAGTCAGGTTAATTTAACAATAGTGTGCAAAGAGATTGGCAATACAGTGTTTTACATATATTCACTTTTAGAAATGTAGTTTCTATTAACTTTTGCACTTGGTTCAAGTTATGAAAAAAATATTTTGGTAAGTGGATAGAAGCGCGTAGTTTCCCTTTTGCTTAGGTTCCAACAGGGCTCAGAAGGGCATCGTAGGCCAGTAACCTTTCCAGTCAAGGTACATTATATGATATAGGTATCTTGTATTCTGTGGGAGTAGGAGTAGGAGTTTTCAGGTTTTCTCGTAAAGTTGACACCACAGATGGGCTTTTATTTCTGAAGTTTCTTAAGCAGGATCCATGACATCATCCTGAAGCTTTGAGTGAATGTAACACAGGGCAGAGAGTTCTGATGAAAAAGAAATATCTAGAACCCATAAGGAGATCAAGCCTGATCAGCAGCACCATAGACACGCAAAAGCATCTTGCACAGCACTGTGGATTAAATTTTATGGTCTTCCATGCAAATTCATTGCACAACAAAAATAGTTTCTCATTTGTCTGTTTGTTAATTCACAAATGAAAAATTACCACACAGACATTTTTAACATTGAAATGATGCCTTTTTTGTCTTTTTCTTTCTTTCTTCAATCTCCTTTGTGGGGGCCCAACATGTTTCACACACATTAAAAATAGAGGTTTGCTTGGTTTCTCTTTTGTTTTCCAGATTAAAAGCAAAAACAAAAACAAACCTCTTATAATATAAAAGGATTTAAATCACCACCAAGATATGAATTACATCTGCACGATCAGCCTCCTGTTGCTATGTATTTGATAAAACAGAAACTAATTTCACTACAAATGGTGGTTTCTCTTCAGGTGTTATTTCACTGCTCCTAAAGCAGTGTGGTATATATGAAAGTTATTTTAATTTTTTTGAATCTGTTTAGTCAGCTCTTTAAAATCTCCTCTTTGGTGAATACTACATAGTGAAATATAGGATCCTTTGGCTTGCCTTATTTTCAAACTTAAGGTGGAGGAGAGGGGTCTGAACATCGTGACAAAAAGAGCTTTAATGTAATGCATAAATAACATTACATATACTACTGCAAAATTGCCTACTCCTCTGCAGCAATTCAGCACTGTGGCATCTAGTTTTTTAGCCTTACCATATGGAACTAATCTTTTCTCAAGCAAATGTCAAATCTATAATAATCAGGTCAGTGCTGTTCATTTCTCCTCCCAACCAGTACTCACCTCTTGCTGAGAAGGTTGAGAACTAGCTCTGCTCTAATTACAGGTGTCCATGAAAGTTTCTCTCACCTTTTCTTATTCCCTTCAACTCTCTCTGACTTGTTTCTTATCCCCAAAATGCATAGTAGAAATAGTCCTGTCACTCAGAGGTTAATAAACTTCCTAAAGAGTTAGATAGTAGAAATTTTAGGCTTTGTGGTCATATGACCTCAGTAGCAACTACTTGGCTCTGCCATTATACTGCTAAAGTAAACAGATAACACAAAATGAATGGGTGTGGCTATGTTCCAATAAAACTTTATTTATAAACTTTGAACTTTGCTGAACTTACTTTATGGTTCTATCTTTGCTAAAATGGAGCAGTCCACAGAAGAATTAACTCTTTAACTACCAATCAGTATTATTCCTTACAGAGAACTGAATTTAACAAGATGACCATTCAGGAGGTACTGGACTTTGAAGGAAGAGTTTGTTTTTGTTTTGTTTTTATCTTTTCTTTAAATGAAAGCTCTATAATTTGCCTGAAGTGAGTTGTCTACAAGTAAATTTTTACCTGCTATTTCTTAATATGCTACTTTCTGGTTTTCTGAGTGAGAACAGTAAGCCACAGGTAGAAAAAATATTTGAAACATTAAATTCAAAATTCAAAATGATTGACAAACTGTCTAATTAAATAGTAAGATGTACTAACAAAGACGTAAGATCTAGAGATTTGAAGATGAGTTATTCTCTACTAGATACAGTATTCATTCTTGAGTATCCAGGATTTGAGTATCACTGACAAAACAGATTTAGAGGACAGGAAGGAAGTTGAGTAATTTGCAATAATATTGTGTGAGGAAGTCAAAGAAAACAGGGTTGTATGGTCATGGGGGAAATAATACTTTATATATTTGTTGGGCCACATTTAGAACAGGAATTATACTTTCTTGATATGATTTCAGAGGTAAAAATCAGACAGGAAAATTTTTAAGAAAATCTCAGTGAATTTTTTTTTTTAAAAAAAGTCTTCTCTAAAAAATTGCCTGACAATGGAAAGGACTATATTAAGAAGTGGTAGAATGTCTTAATCATAATATGCTGGGCATATTGTGGAGAGAATTTCAGTAATAAAAGGGTCATTAGGTTAGGTCAATGGTTCCCAGACATAAATTTCATAGACCAGGAATGTTTTTCAATCGGAAACTGAAAAAAATGCTTACTAAAATTTTATAATGCCCAGTAAAGACTTTCAAACAATACCAATGTCCAGAATCATCTCATAAAATAAACATATTTTAAAGAAAAATATAGGAAGTTGAATACTGAATACTGAATATTGAAATTAAGGGCAGTCTTGCAAAAAAAAATAAAAAACAGTTTCTAACTTTGCCAAGTAAATATCTAGCTAACTAAATCAAGAGATGACACGGGTTTTATTTTTCTCAGTTTGGTATAGAACAGCAAAATCTGTTATGGATTAGTATGAGTTGCTTGATCATCATGTGAGAATTATTGAACCTTTAAAGTCCCTTTCAATTCTAAGACTCTGAAGCACTGAGTGAACATGACAATAACAAAGTGTGAATGGGTCCATCTTCCAGGTATGCAATAATGATTGGACAAAGGTAAAAGTTATCTTCAAAATGCTCTGTCAAATAAATTCTTTATTTTAAATAAACTCATTTACATGCAAGTAGCAGTTGAAACTAAAACACAAAGCACTGTAACTTGTTAAATACTAGTTATTTAGTAACTAGTTATAGGTTAAATTATGCTGCACCCCTGCCCCCAATAAAAGGCCTAGAAAACTAATACACTGTATCTGTGGGGGTTTGGTTCCAGGACCCCTTGAGGATACCAGAATCTATGGATGGCTCAAGTTCCTGATATAAAATGATATAGTATTTGCAAATAACCCTATGCACATCCTCTCATATACTTTAAATTATTTCTAGATACATTGTAAAAGCTATGTAAACAGTTCTTTTGACATAATGTTTTCAATTTGTATTATTTTTATTGTGTTTTTTTCCCTTTTTTTGAGACAGGTCTCTGTCACTCAGGCTGGAATACAGTAACAATGATCATAGCTCATTGTGGCCTCAAATTCCTGGGCTCAAGCAATCCTCCCACCTTAGCTTCCTGAGTAGCTGAGACTATAGGCAAATGCCCCCATGCCTGGTTAATTTTTTTTATTTGTTTGTTTTTGTTTTTTGTAGAGATGAGGCCTTGCTATACTGCCCAGGCTGGTCTTGAGCTGCTGGCTTCAAGCAGCCTCCCACCTCAACCTCCCAAAGCTCTGGGATTACAGGCATATGCCACCATAACCAGCCCCCAAATATTTTAAATCTGTGGTCAGTTGAATGGGCAGAGCTGGAACACATGGATATGGAGGGCCAACTGTGTATTAATTTTGGTAATTTCAGAGGCAAAAAAGAAAAATCCAATGGCAATAGCAAAGGAACAGTGGGCTTATTCAAGAAATATTCTAATACTGTAACACTTAGAATTTCAAGATAATTAAATCATATTATCAACTAAAATTTCAACTGAAGAAAAGTTTAAAAATAATGTTCAGAAAGTTGGGTCCATTGTAAAACTCAAAATCAAGTGATTTTGCCCCCTTCCTCCAATTTTCCTTTGGACATATATTGTAAGACTGTTTGTATAAATGATTTTGAGAAAGATTTTTGTGAATTCAATGCACAGCTTGGAATAGTGAGGGGGGCAAACACTATACCAGCTCCTACCCACTGCTATGTCAATGCACATAAATTCTAATTTGTAACACCCCTGCAGTTCCATTGTATGGCTCCATTAGTCTATGCATGAATTATTCACACATGATACATCATAATGGCATCAGAACCATTTATGATATCAATTCATACTATTATAGAACAGGTAATCTTCAGCTGTCCAACACAACATGTGTTAATTAGATCTCCAAGAAACTTTGCTAGTCAATCACCTTCACAAAACCCAGCTCCTGCCCCACCTCCTCCAATAAGCCTTCCAATCACTCCATCCTGCATCAGTATCTTTCATTTTAGACTACCCATGGAATACCTGAGATAATTTAGTAGTTTAAACTATATTTCTTTGTGTTATTCTCTTCATTGTTTTGCAGATTTAACTCTTATATCCCTGAGTATATTGTTTGATTCTTGAGGGATGAAACCAAGGCATATGTTTCCTTTGTAACTTCCACGGTTCTTAGAAATGTCTGACACCTAGTAAATTTTCAATAAATTCTAAATGCCTTAAGTGCCTGGAAAAAGATGCAATTCACAAATTTTTAAATGCTAGGCTACTTGGTTTAGTAGCTTTCAACCTTTTGAATAGTCATACAGCTTCTGTGTGGTGTGGTTTATTATTTTGTTATAAAATATTTGTTTTATTTTGTCTTATTTTCTTTAAAATTTTTGTCCTCTTTACTTTCTTTATTGTCTTACTTTATTTAAAGTTAACTTTCAGATAACTTTAACTATCTGATGAAACAAACTGCTTTTGTGTAATATTATTAAAAGCAGAATTGTTATGAGATTTGGAGAGAGATATATAAAATCTCACAGTATGGTGACTGACATAATGTCATTGCCATTATTTCTGAGCACTTCAGTTTTCAGTACATGTAACAATTGGCAGTTACTAGCAGAGTACTTATAATTAAAAAGCAATTTATAAAGGAGAATTGCATAGTTCAGTCTTGTGTTTTCAGTGCTTACATAATAATTTATAAGCAAACTATTGAAAAATAACTGACATACAGAAATATGCAGGTACCTCCAGTGCACAGCTCAATGAATGATCACTAAGTAAACCCATCTGTAGTCAGCAACCAGATGAGGTAACAGAGTATCAGCACCTAAAAAGCCGCTCTTGTACACCCCTATCAATATAACCCAGTATCCTGACTTCTTATAGCATTGATAATTTTTACCTGTTTTTGAACTTTACATAAATGGAATCATATCATAAGTACTCTTTCAGGATTGGCTCCTTTCATTCAAGTATTTGTGATATTAATGCATAATTTTGCATGTAACCATGGGCTTGTTTTTTGCTTTCATACGGTTGTATATTATTCCACTTTACGCATATAGCACAATTTATGTATCCATTCTATAGATATTTGGATTGTCATGAATAGATTGTTTTGAATATTATTAAACATGTTTTTGGGTGAATGCACACACACAAATATACACACACATACACACTTCTACTGAATATAAGCATGGGAGAGGAATTGGTGAATTATTATGTTTATATTTACTACTTAATGTAATTTCGTATGTTTAGTTTTACAAGAAAAAGGTTTTAAATTGCTTTTGCCAATTTACATTCCCACTAGTAGTGAACGAGAATTGCAATTTCTCCATGTTGTCATCAATCCCTAATATTACCTGTCTTTTTTTTTTTTTTGAGACGGAGTCTTGCTCTGTCGCCTAGGCTGGAGTGCAGTGGCACTATCTCGGCTCACTGCAAGCTCCGCCTCTTGAGTTCACGCCATTCTCCTGCCTCAGCCTCCCGAGAAGCTGGGACTACAGGTGCCCGCCACCATGCCTGGCTAATTTTTTGTATTTTTAGTAGAGACAGGGTTTCATTGTGTTAGCCAAGATGGTCTCAATCTCCTGACCTCATGATCCACCCACCTTGGCCTCCCAAAGTGCTGGGATTACAGACGTGAGCCACCGAGCCCGGCCTTACCTGTCTTTTTTATACTTTAGCCATTCATATAGTATGTGTAATGGTATCTCAATGTACTTGTCATTTGCATTTCCATAATGACTAATGAAATTGAGAACTTCTTATGTCTCTTCAACATTTGTTAATTCTCTTTTGTGAAGTGCCTACTTGAACATTTTGCTCATTTGCCTACTGGGTTGTTTTCCCTTTTCTTACAGAGTTATAGATATTATTTGTGTATAATGTAATCACTGATATATTTAGAGTTATTTCTTCCATTCTGTTACTTGTCTTCTATTTGACCTACCTGTCCTATGTTTTTTTCTCTTCTCTTGTCTTCCTTTGGATTAATCAATTTTTTCTTATTCATCCTGCAATATTAATTTGTTTGCTATGTATTTTTAATTACCATTTTAGTGATGATATTAAAGAATGTAATGTTTTAATATATTCTTGACCTACTACAAAATATTGCAAATTATTACTTTTACCTCTGTCTGCAAATGCTAGAACTTTAGAATATACTACATTTATTTATCTCCTTCCTGTCTTTTGCATTTTTATGTTTACATCTGAGACAATTTTTTTCTAGTCAAAGAATTTCCTTTAGTAGTTGTTTTTAGTAAAGTTTACTGGTGAAAATATCTCTGAATTTTTGTTTTCTTGAGAAAACATGTCATTAATGATAAGAAGACCTTTTCAACTATAATTTTACATTTTACTTTCACAATTGATAGACCTTGTATTACATTTATTCTATTTTTACTTCTGATGAAGGATTTGGCAGTTTTTTCTCAGCACTTTCCATTTCTATCAGCTTTCATAGTTCATGTCGAGAAGTCAACTATAAGCTTGTTATTTATATGTAATGTCTTTTTTCTCTGCATATTTTAAAGAATATTATCTTTATTTTTGGTCTCAAACAATTTAATTGTAACATTCCTGAGTTGGGCTCTCTTTGCATTTATTTTGCTTGCAGTTTTGCTGGGCTTCTTGAATTTGTGGGTCATTATGTTTAGTATGTTTTGAAATATTTTCCACCATTAGCTCTTCAAATAATGCTTCTGCCTCATTCTCTCCCTCCTTACCTTAAGGTACTGTCATTACATGTGTACTGGAGTTTTGGAAATTGTCCTAATGTCTCTCATGCTCTTTTCCATATTCTCAATTATTTGTCTTTCTATGCTCCAATTTGGATATTTTCTATTAAATTATCTTTCAGTTTACAAATCCTGCCTTCTGCTGTGTTGAATATGCAGCTAAATATAACTGTTGAGTTCATTTCAGATACTGTGATTTCATATTTAGAATATCTATTTATTTTATTTCATATATTCTAAATTCTATCATAAAATTCCCTTTCTTTTAATCCATATTTCTTCATTGTTTTATTGATGTCCTTGAAACTGTTAATCTTTGCTAACTTTAAAGTTCACATCTGCTAACATCAATAGATAGATTGCTTTTTGGTTATGTTTCTTATATTCTGATTATTCTCTTGATTTCTAGTCTCATGATTTCATCTTTTAACAGGCCTAATGACTTTTGATTTAATGCCATACATTTTTCATAAAGACATTGCAGAGGCTATGGATGAGCTCATCCTTCAGAGTGGTTTCACCCTCTCCTCAGCTAGGCAGTGTGAAGACTTACCAGCTTGGGAGTTAACTGAATTCAGTCTAATTTTCATTCACTTCTTTACGTGGCATAGCTCTACAGGGCTTTCAAATGAGAGTCATTTTCCCTGGCAGGACATGAAGTCTTTATCTCTTTGCCAGGAGATTGAAGAAAACTCTACTGTTTTCCCATTTTATTCTGATTTTCTCACACCCCCAAATTTCAGAATTCAGCAAATATCTTTAGAGGAAAAATAACCATAAATTTAAGGTCTCTCAAGTGTCAAATTTTGTTAATGTGGTCCTGCAAGACTGTCAAATGCTTGGTTGACTTCTCCATTTAGCAGCTGCTGATTTCTGCATGGGCAAAGTCCAGAAATTTGACTTCTTGCTCATACCCAGAGTTTGCAAATATAACTATAGAAAAGAAACTGCAAAATGCCAGCCTACTTCTCTATGACCCTCTTCTCCCCATATTCCTTAGCTCCCTTATTCTTATCATTTCAACAGCTCTCTGATGCTGTTAAACATGTGATATTTTAATGAATCTATTTTTTCTAGTTGTTTTTGGTGGAAGCTTTGGTATGGCAACACCTATTCCACTTATTCATATATGGAAGCCCATACAATAATGTTTTTGAATGAATTAAAATACCTTTTCATTAAAATATAAAATTTTATTTGAAAACTTGGCAGATAATGCCTGTCCATATGAAAATGAAATATTGATGTGGAATGTACAGTGGTAGTAAAATATTTTCTTTTTTTAACTCAAAAGTAATGAGCTTTTAAAAATTAAATATTAAACAAAAATGTAAAGAAGTCAAGAACTCTCATTCTTTTTCATTCTACTTTGTCACTCACTTACAGAGCAGCAGCAAAAGCATTTGCAGAAGTAAAGGCTTATTTTGTGAGAATATCATCTTATATTCTGAATATGTGTTAGCAGTTTAGCTTTCCTAGGTGCTAACTAAGCTATGGGGTCAGGTGGACTAAACATTCTTAAGCAATAATTGAATGGGCACACATTCATGGCATTTTTCAGAATTAGATATGTAAGCAGGAGTCCAGATGTAAGATGACTAAATAAATTCATTATTATTAAATTTGAAGACACAGCCATGGATCAATGTCGTTTAACTACGTGTGGAGCTTCAGTTAAATTAAGCTTGAACATATGACAAAAATGTTGAGATCTCAATCATGTGGCAAGACATTTGGCCAATGACATGATGGTGGTAGCTGGCAATTGGTTAGACCTTATTAGAATACTATGTCAAACCAGCTAAATAAATAAGCAACATATTACTTATTTATTTTCCTAGAAATCTTAGCCAGACTGTGTTCTACCAGTTAAATATTTAAGATACAGTAAGTAACTCAAATGTGACTGTTGAATCCCGTGGATTCTCAGCTAGATTCAAAGTTCAATTGTTGATCAACTTTTCCTTAGATTCCATAAACCCAACAAATTCTTTTCACAAAATTGAATTTGCTTTGATTTTCTGTCATTTATAAAACAAATAGCCAAAACCAGTGGTCATCAAGTCATACATGAAAAATTAAGTGGTCATATATGAAAAATACAGTGGTCATATGTAAAAAATAAAGATGAAATAATCAATGGGGAAAGAAAACATGTATCAGAACCTGTATTAGTCTGTTCTCACACTGCTAATAGAGACATACCCAAGACTGGATAATTTATAAAGGAAAGAGGTTTAATGGGCTCACAGGTCCACATGGCTGGGGAGGCCTCACAATCACGGCGGAAGGCAAAGGAGAAGCAAAGGCGTGTCTTACATGGCACAGGCAAGATAGCTTGTGTAGGAAAACACCCCTTTATAAAACCATCAAATCTCATGAAATTTATTCTCTATCACGACAACAGCATGGGAAAGACCCACCCCCATGATTCAGAATCCCTCCCATGACATGTGGGGATTATGGGAGCTACAACTCAAGATGAGATTTGGGTGAGGACACAGCCAAACCATATCAAAGCACAAGAACCAATCATTAATAAGTGGGACAAAGCTGCTGAGAACTTCCAGAAATAAGAACTTAGACAAGTAGATAAATAGTGCTTGTCTGTGATTGAAAGCAGGGCTGTGGCCTTTTGAGGTATGGATTCAGGGACTGCTGGCTGTTCCATTCCTTTCTTCAAGGGACCTTTACCCTCCCTGAACTGAGAATCCCTCTGCCTTTGACAAGAATTTATTCAGAGGACATTTTCCCTAGCTATTAATTCAGGGTTTTGTTTTTTTTTGTTTTTTGTTCTTTGTTTTTTTGGTGGCATTTGCTGCATCTGGTAATCTTCCCAACTTTAGCCAGCTTGATTGTTAGCAGAGAAATCTAGATGGGTGGGGAATAGGAAGAGGACTAGACACACTGAGAATCAACATTTTGTTGACAACATTTTGGCACTCTTAAAGACCGCCAAATCATTGGTTCTACTGTTTTCACTTTCTGTCTCAAAATATTATTTTGTAACAGCTACATAGATATAAGATGCAAAGAAAGACAAAAATATTAAAGGCAAACACTTTCATTGAGTTATTAAGATTAGTTTGATTTACTCTTAAAACACTAAAAAAGTAAGAATTTTTAAAAACAGTTAATATTATTTTAAGGCTCTTAATTGAGCTTTTTCTGGAATTGGCAATGAAAATTTAGGCTTGGAAGACTCACTTCCAATGATCCTCTAAAAACTCTTTTCCCATAAAAGAATTTGGCGACCAAAATCTTCATTTTTTTATTACATTAATATATTTATTAACCCATCATTTCTTAATCACTTTTGTTGGAAGAAGTAGAAGACACTTATTTTTACTACAGACTCTCCAAGAATGTACACAATAAAAAGAGAAAGGAATATACTAAGGTATAAAGATCACTGTATTCTTTCTACTTTTGGTCTGCCAGAAATTAGACCTATGACCTAGGGAAAGTTATTTATTCCATCCTAGTATCCTCTTCTGATTAACAACAAACCCCTGTGACACGAGTTTACCTGCATCATAAGCCTGCATATGTATCCCCAAACCTAAAATAGTTTAAAAAGTTAAAAAAATCAAATTTTAAAAATAAAATTAGGAAAAAAAATTGATACGGCTCTGAAGTGTTATTTTAAAGATTGAGATAACAGTTTTATAATGTTAATACAAGACTACACATAATACCTGTTCAATTAAACTTATTCCCTTTTTCACAAACACATGCAGATATCATTCTAGCATGACAATCTATTAGAAAAGCCCTGCAAATGTGTGTTTTATTACCCTTTAGATGACAAATTTATATTTTTAAAATCTTAATATTGGAGGAGCCAAGATGGCTGAATAGGAACAGCTCCGGTCTACAGCTCCCAGCGTGAGCGACACAGAAGACAGGTGATTTCTGCATTTCCATCTGAGGTACCGGGTTCATCTCACTAGGGAGTGCCAGACAGTGGGCGCAGGTCAGTGGGTGCGCGCACCGTGCGCGAGCGGAAGCAGGGCGAGGCATTGCCTCACTCGGGAAGCGCAAGGGGTCAGGGAGGTCCCCTTCCTAGTCAAAGAAAGGAGTGACGACAGCACCTGGAAAATCGGGTCACTCCCACCTGAATACTGCGCTTTTCCGACGGGCTTAAAACATGGCGCACCACGAGATTATATCCCGCACCTGGCTCGGAGGGTCCTACGCCCACGGAGTCTCCCTGATTGCTAGCACAGCAGTCTGAGATCAAACTGCAACGCGGCAGCGAGGCTGGGGGAGGGGCGCCCGCCATTGCCCTGGCTTGATTAGGTAAACAAAGCAGCCAGGAAGCTCCAACTGGGTGGAGCCCACCACAGCTCAAGGAGGCCTGCCTGCCTCTGTAGGCTCCACCTCTGGGGGCAGTGCACAGACAAACAAAAAGACAGCAGTAACCTCTGCAGACTTAAATGTCCCTGTCTGACAGCTTTGAAGAGAGCAGTGGTTCTCCCAGCACACAGCTGGAGATCTGAGAACGGGCAGACTGCCTCCTCAAGTGGGTCCCTGACGCCTGACCCCCCAGCAACCTAACTGGGAGGCACCCCCCAGCAGGGGCACACTGACACCTCACACGGCAGGGTATTCCAACAGACCTGCAGCTGAGGGTCCTGTCTGTTAGAAGGAAAACTAACAAACAGAAAGGACATCCACACCAAAAACCCATCTGTACATCACCCTCATCAAACACCAAAAGTAGATAAAACCACAAAGATGGGGAAAAAACAAAATAGAAAAGCTGGAAACTCTAAAAAGCAGAGCGCCTCTCCTCCTCCAAAGGAACGCAGTTCCTCACCAGCAATGGAACAAAGCTGGATGGAGAATGACTTTGACGAGTTGAGAGAAGAAGGCTTCAGACGATCAAATTACTCTGAGCTACGGGAGGACATTCAAACCAAAGGCAAAGAAGTTGAAATCTTTGAAAAAAAATTAGAAGAATGTATAACTAGAATAACCAATACAGAGAAGTGCTTAAAGGAGCTGATGGAGCTGAAAACCAAGGCTCGAAAACTACGTGAAGAATGCAGAAGCCTCAGGAGCTGATGCGATCAACTGGAAGAAAGGGTATCAGCAATGGAAGATGAAATGAATGAAATGAAGCGAGAAGGGAAGTGTAGAGCAAAAAGAATAAAAAGAAATGAGCAAAGCCTCCAAGAAATATGGGACTATGTGAAAAGACCAAATCTGCGTCTGATTGGTGTACCTGAAAGTGATGGGGAGAATGGAACGAAGTTGGAAAACACACTGCAGGATATTATCCAGGAGAACTTCCCCAATCTAGCAAGGCAGGCCAACGTTCAGATTCAGGAAATACAGAGAATGCCACAAAGATACTCCTCGAGAAGAGCAACTCCAAGGCACATAATAGTCAGATTCACCAAAGTTGAAATGAAGGAAAAAATGTTAAGGGCAGCCAGAGAGAAAGGTCGGGTTACCCTCAAAGGGAAGCCCATCAGACTAACAGCAGATCTCTCAGCAAAAACCCTACAAGCCAGAAGAGAGTGGGGGCCAATATTCAACATTCTTAAAGAAAAGAATTTTCAACCCAGAATTTCATATCCAGCCAAACTAAGCTTCATAAGCGAAGGAGAAATAAAATACTTTACAGACAAGCAAATGCTGAGAGATTTTGTCACCACCAGGCCTGCCCTAAAAGAGCTCCTGAAGGAAGTGCTAAATATGGAAAGGAACAACCGGTACCAGCAGCTGCAAAATCATGCCAAAATGTAAAGACCATCGAGACTAGGAAGAAACTGCATCAACTAACGAGCAAAATAACCAGCTAATATCATAATGACAGGATCAAATTCACACATAACAATATTAACTTTAAATGTAAATGGACTAAATGCTCCAATTAAAAGACACAGACTGGCAAATTGGATAAAGAGTCAAGACCCATCAGTGTGCTGTATTCAGGAAACCCATCTCACGTGCAGAGACACACATAGGCTCAAAATAAAAGGATGGAGGAAGATCTACCAAGCAAATGGAAAACAAAAGAAGGCAGGGGTTGCAATCCTAGTCTCTGATAAAACAGACTTTAAACCAACAAAGATCAAAAGACACAAAGAAGGCCATTACATAATGGTAAAGGGATCAATTCAACAAGAAGACCTAACTATCCTAAATATATATGCACCCAATACAGGAGCACCCAGATTCATAAAGCAAGTCCTGAGTGACCTACAAAGAGACTTAGACTCCCACACATTAATAATGGGAGACTTTAACACCCCACTGTCAACATTAGACAGATCAACGAGACAGAAAGTCAACAAGGATACCCAGGAATTGAACTCAGCTCTGCACCAAGCAGACCTAATAGACATCTACAGAACTCTCCACCCCAAGTCAACAGAATATACATTTTTTTCAGCACCACACCACACCTATTCCAAAATTGACCACATACTTGGAAGTAAAGCTCTCCTCAGCAAATGTAAAAGAACAGAAATTATAACAAACTATCTCTCAGACCACAGTGCAATCAAACTAGAACTCAGGATTAAGAATCTCACTCAAAACCGCTCAACTACATGGAAACTGAACAACCTGCTCCTGAATGACTACTGGATACATAACGAAATGAAGGCAGAAATAAAGATGTTCTTTGAAACCAACGAGAACAAAGACACAACATACCAGAATCTCTGGGACACATTCAAAGCAGAGTGTAGAGGAAAATTTATAGCACTAAATGCCCACAAGAGAAAGCAGGAAAGATCCAAAATTGACACCCTAACATCACAATTAAAAGAACTAGAAAAGCAAGAGCAAACACATTCAAAAGCTAGCAGAAGGCAAGAAATAACTAAAATCAGAGCAGAACTGAAGGAAATAGAGACACAAAAAACCCTTCAAAAAATTAATGAATCCAGGAGCTGGTTTTTTGAAAGGATCAACAAAATTGATAGACCGCTAGCAAGACTAATGAAGAAAAAGAGAGAGAGGAATCAAATAGACGCAATAAAAAATGATAAAGGGGATATCACCACCAATCCCACAGAAATACAAACTACCATCAGAGAATACTACAAACACCTCTACGCAAATAAACTAGAAAATCTAGAAAAAATGGATAAATTCCTCGACACATACACTCTCCCAAGACTAAACCAGGAAGAAGTTGAATCTCTGAATAGACCAATAACAGGATCTGAAATTGTGGCAATAATCAATAGCTTACTAACCAAAAAGAGTACAGGACCAGATGGATTCACAGCCGAATTCTACCAGAGGTACAAGCAGGAACTGGTACCATTCCTTCTGAAACTATTCCAATCAATAGAAAAAGAAGGAATCCTCCCTAACTCATTTTATGAGGCCAGCATCATTCTGATACCAAAGCCAGGCAGAGACACAACAAAAAAAGAGAATTTTAGACCAATATCCTTGATGAACATTGATGCAAAAATCCTCAATAAAATACTGGCAAACCAAATCCAGCAGCACATCAAAAAGCTTATCCACCATGATCAAGTGGGCTTCATCCCTGGGATGCAAGGCTGGTTCAATATACGCAAATCAATAAAGGTAATCCAGCATATAAACAGAGCCAAAGACAAAAACCACATGATTATCTCAATAGATGCAGAAAAAGCCTTTGACAAAATTCAACAACGCTTCATGCTAAAAACTCTCAATAAATTAGGTATTGATGGGACGTATTTCAAAATAATAAGAGCTATCTATGACAAACCCATAGCCAATATCATACTGAATGGGCAAAAACTGGAAGCATTCCCTTTGAAAACTGGCACAAGACAGGGATGCCCTCTCTCACCACTCCTATTCAACATAGTGTTGGAAGTTCTGGCCAGGGCAATTAGGCAGGAGAAGGAAATAAAGGGTATTCAATTAGGAAAAGAGGAAGTCAAATTGTCCCTGTTTGCAGACGACATGATTGTATATCTAGAAAACCCCATTGTCTCAGCCCAAAATCTCCTTAAGCTGATAAGCAACTTCAGCAAAGTCTCAGGATACAAAATCAATGTACAAAAATCACAAGCATTCTTATACACCAACAACAGACAAACAGAGAGCCAAATCATGAGTGAACTCCCATTCACAGTTGCTTCAAACAGAATAAAATACCTAGGAATCCAACTTACAAGGGATGTGAAGGACTTCTTCAAGGAGAACTACAAACCACTGCTCAAGGAAATAAAAGAGGATACAAACAAATGGAAGAACATTCCATGCTCATGGGTAGGAAGAATCAATATCGTGAAAATGGCCATACTGCCCAAGGTAATTTACAGATTCAATGCCATCCCCATCAAGCTACCAATGCCTTTCTTCACAGAATTGGAAAAAACTACTTTAAAGTTCATATGGAACCAAAAAAGAGCCTGCATCGCCAAGTCAATCCTAAGACAAAAGAACAAAGCTGGAGGCATCATGCTACCTGACTTCAAACTATGCTACAAGGCTACAGTAACCAAAACAGCATGGTTCTGGTACCAAAACAGAGATATAGATCAATGGAACAGAACAGAGACCTCAGAAATAACGCCGCATATCTACAACTATCTGATCTTTGACAAACCTGAGAAAAACAAGCAATGGGGAAAGGATTCCCTATTTAATAAATGGTGCTGGGAAAACTGACTAGCCATATGTAGAAAGCTGAAACTGGATCCCTTCCTTACACCTTATACAAAAATCAATTCAAGATGGATTAAAGACTTAAACGTTAGACCTAACACCATAAAAACCCTAGAAGAAAACCTAGGCATTACCATTCAGGACATAGGCATGGGCAAGGACTTCATGTCTAAAACACCAAAAGCAATGGCAACAAAAGACAAAATTGACAAATGGGATCTAATTAAACTAAAGAGCTTCTGCACAGCAAAAGAAACTACCATCATAGTGAACAGGCAACCTACAAAATGGGAGAAAATTTTCGCAACCTACTCATCTGACAAAGGGCTAATATGCAGAATCTACAATGAACTCAAACAAATTTACAAGAAAAAAACAAAAAACCCCATCAAAAAGTGGGTGAAGGACATGAACAGACACTTCTCAAAAGAAGACATTTATGCAGCCAAAAAACACATGAAAAAATGCTCACCATCACTGGCCATCAGAGAAATGCAAATCAAAACCACAAAGAGATACCATCTCACACCAGTCAGAATGGCAATCATTAAAAAGTCAGGAAACAACAGGTGCTGGAGAGGATGTGGAGAAATAGGAACACTTTTACACTGTTCTTGGGACTGTAAACTAGTTCAACCAGTGTGGAAGTCAGTGTGGCAATTCCTCAGGGATCTAGAACTGGAAATACCATTTGACCCAGCCATCCCATTACTGGGTATATACCCAAAGGACTATAAATCATGCTGCTATAAAGACACATGCACACGTATGTTTATTGTGGCATTATTCACGATAGCAAAGACTTGGAACCAACCCAAATGTCCAACAATGATAGACTGGATTAAGAAAATGTGGCACATATACACCATGGAATACTATGCAGCCATAAAAAATGATGAGTTCATGTCCTTTGTAGGGACATGGATGAAATTGGAAATCATCATTCTCAGTAAACTATCACAAGAACAAAAAACCAAACACCGCATATTCTCACTCATAGGTGGGAATTGAACAATGAGATCACATGGACACAGGAAGGGGAATATCACACTCTGGGGACTGTTGTGGGGTGGGGGTAGGGAGGGAGGGATAGCATCAGGAGATATACCTAATGCTAGATGATGAGTTAGTGGGTGCAGCGCACCAGCATGGCACATGTATACATATGTAACTAACCTGCACAATGTGCACATGTACCCTAAAACTTAAAGTATAATAATAAAAAATAAATAAATAAATAAAAATTAAAAAAATAAATAAATAAATAAAATAAAATTAAGCTAGGGACAGAAAAAAAAATTCCAATCTGAAATTCTCTACAGAAAAAAAAAATCTTACCATATTATCTAGCAAAGCAGCAATTATGACACAGGGTAAAAAAGACTTGGTAAATAAGAAAAGACAATTTCTAAAAATAATCTAGCCATCGGGAGGCCTATAGGTGCCATATGAATGTCATATGACATGCATATCTATGACTTAAAATTCTGACAACAAAAGTTGATGCTTATTTTGTACCAAACACTATGCTATGTGCTTTAGTTATATTTGCTTATCTAATATTTAAATTAATGCTCCTGGGACGGTATTGTTACTTATCCTCATATTACAAATGAAGAAAATGAGCCTCAGAGATGGAAATTAATTTGCCCAAGATCACATAGCCAGTAAGTGCCAGAGCTTGGGTTCAAATCCAGACAGTCTGCTTTCTGAACTAGTCCTCTTCACATTATGCTGCTTCCCATAGACAGGAAACCCTAGTTGCCACCAGTTCCATGTATTTGCTTCTCTTTGTTAGCTGCATGAACCATGTAGGAGCCTGTAGATCCTCTCTGAAAAGAAGGTCTTAGGAGATATCAGCAGAAAAATGAGAGCCTTGGATGATGAACGGGACAAAAAGTAGTAGAAAACAAGAGTGAAAGGGTGGAAGATGCAGTCAGTGCCCCACAGCATCATGCCAGTTTTGAGTGAAAGGAATAGCTTTCCAGTTATTGGTGTCTTCTTCAATTTCTTTCATTAATATTTTGATATTTTTAGTATACAGATTTTTCACCTCCCTGGTTAAATTTATTCCTAATTATTTAATGCTTACAAATGGGGTAGGTTTTTTTTTTTTTAATTTGGGAGGAGACGGTAGTTTGTTGTTAATGTACAGAAACACAAGTGATTTTTACACGTTAACTTTTTTTTTTTTTTTTGAGACAGAGTTTCGCTCTTGTTGCCCAGGCTGGGTGCAGTGGCGTGACCTTGGCTCACTGCAACCTCCGCCTCCCGGGTTTAAGCTACTCTCCTGCCTCAGCCTCCTGAGTAGCTGGGATTGCAGGCATGTGCCACCACGCCCGGCTAATTTTGTATTTTTAGTAGAGACGAGGTTTCTCCATGTTGGTCAGGCTGCTCTCGAACTCCAACCTCAGGTGATCCACCTGCCTCGGCCTCCCAAAATGTTGGGATTATAGGCGTGAGCCACTGCGCCCAGCCTACATGTTAACTTTTCATCTTGCAACTTTAATTAATTAGTTTATTAGTTCTGGCAATTTTTGTATAATCTTTAGGATTTTCTAAATATAAAATAACATCATCTGCAAACAGATAATTTTATTTCTTCCTTTTTAATTTGGATGTCTTTTTGTTTCTGGCCTAATTGTTCTGACTAGGACTTCTTATACTATATTGAACAGAAGTGGAGAGAGTGGGCATCCTTGTTTTGCTCCTGATCTTAGAGGAAAAGCTTTCAGCTTTTCACCACTAAGTATGATGTTAGCTGTGGGCTTGTCACTATTGCCTTTATTATGTTGAGGTACATTTCCCCTATATCTAATTTGTGAGAGTTTTTAATCATGAAAGTTTGTTGGATTTTGTCAAATACTTACTCTATGTTTATTGAAATGATCATAAAATTTTTTATCCTTCATTGTTATGGTGTATCACAATTCTTGGTTTGCATATGTTGAAACATACTTGCATCCAAGGGATAAATCTTACTTGATTATGGTGTATGATCATTTTAATGTGCTGTTGAATTTGAATTGCTAGTATTTTGTTGAGTATTTTTTGTAGTTATGTTCATCAGGGATATTGGCCTATAATTTTCTTTTCTTGTAATGTCCTTGTTTGCCTTTGGTATCAGGGTGATGCCTCATAAAATAAGTTTGGACATGTTTCCACTTCTTCAATTTTTTGGAAGAGTTTGAGAAGAATTGGATTATTTCTTCCTTAAATGTTTGGCAGAATTTACCAGTAAAACCATCAGTTCCTGGGATTTTCTTTGTAGAAAGATTTTTTTATTATTGATTCAATTTCCTTACTCATTATTGTTCTGTTCATATTTTCTATTTCTACATTATTCAGTCTTGGTAGGTTGAAATTTTCTAAGAATTTATGCAGTTAATATTAAAATTTCCATACTATCCAAATGATCTATGGATTCAATGCAACCCCTATAAAAATTTCAATGAAATTTTTCAAAGAAATGGGAAAAAAATCTTAAAATTCATATAGAACCACAAAAGATGCATAATAGCCAAAGCAATCTTGAACAAGAAGAACAAAATTAGAGGTATCACACCACCTAATTTAAACACATACTATGATGATATAGTAATGAAAACATCATGATACTGGCATTAAAACAGACATATAGACCAATGGAACAGAATAGAGAGCCTAGAAATAAATCCACACATTTATTATCAATTGATCTTCAACAAAGATGCCAAGAACATACAGTGGGGAAAGGACGGTCTCTTCAATAAATATTTTTGAAAAACTGAATATCCACTTGTAGAAGAATGAAACTGGACCTTTGTCTCACATCATATACAAAAGTCAACTCCAAATGATTTAAGACTTAAATGTAAGACCTAAAAAGGCAAAACTACTAGAAAAAAAAAATAAGAAAAAACTTATTAGTATTGATCTGGGCAATGATTACTTTGGATATGATCCCAAAAGCATACACAACAAAAGCAAAAATAGACAGATTAGATTCCATCAAACTAAAAACTTACCACAGCAAAGGATAGAATCAAGAGACTGAAAAGACAACCTACAAAATAGGGAAAAAAATGTTTGCAAACCACACATCTGATGAGGGGTTAATATCCAAAATGTGTAAGGAATTCAAACAACTCAATCACAAGAAAACAAAAACTCAATTTAAAAAAGTGCAAGGGGTCTAACCAAACTTTCCCAAAAGAAGGCATGCAACTGGCCAATAGGTATATGAAAAAACTGTTCAACATCACTAATCACTAGGCAAATGCCAATTGAAAACTCAGTAAGACACCACTTCATGCCTGGTAGAATAGCTATTAGAAAACAGACAAAAGCTAACAAGTGTTGGTGAGTATGTAGAGAAAGGGAACCCTGTACACTGTTAATGAGAATGTAAATTAGTACAGCCAATATAGAAAACAGTATGGAGGTTCCTCAAAAAATTTAAAACAGTACTACCATATGATCCAGCAATCCTACTTCTGGATTTATATCCAAAGGAAACTAAATCAGCATGTGGAAAAGATATCTGCACTCCCATGTTCATTGCAGCATTATTCACAATGGCCAAGATACAGAATCAACCCAAGTGTCCATCAGTGGATGACTGGATGGAGAAAATGTGATATATATACACAATACAATATTATTTAGCTTTAAGAAAAGAAAATCCTGTCATTTTGACAACTTGGATGAAACTAGAGGACATTTGCTAAGTGAAATAAGTGAGGCACAGAAAGACAAATATTGCATGATCACAGCTACATGTGAAATCTAAAGAAATGGAACTTACAGAAGTAGAGAATATGAAGGTGATTAATAGAAGCTGGGTTGGGGAAAGGGGGAGATGTTGGTCAAAAGGCACAAAGTTGTATGGGATGAATAAATTCTGGACATGTAATGTATAGCATAGTGACTATAGTTAATAACATTGTATTGTATACTTGAAATTTGCCAAGAGAGTAGATCTTAGATGTTGTCACCACAAAAAAAAAGCATTTTGTCATGTGGCAGATATGTTAATTATCTTGATAATGGTAATCATTTCATGATGTATGTGTATATCAAAATATCACATTGTCTACTTTACATATATACATAAAATTGCTACTTGCCTATTATACCTCAATAAAATCTGGCAATAATATTGAGAGGCCCAGAGACATTAGAAATAACACCCAAAGTCACAATGCTCAATTTGAATAAGAAATAACATCTATCAGTCTGGTATGTTGCATTTGGAGGCCATAATATAGACAGATCCTTGCAGGAGAGAAGAATGTGTCTTGAGACCAAGAGAATACATGGCTTTCTAAGATGAACACTATTCCAGTAAATTAACGGATTGTATTTATTGGAATGACAGGAAAAAGCCTAACAAGTTTTCCAAAACTTTCAGGATAGATAAAAACCAGCTGAAGGAAAGCAGAAGCAGGTTTTAACTACAAGAAGTAAGTTTTAAACACAGTTTGAGAATATTGGTTTGGGACCTGAGTGAAGGAAAGGGTGATCAGTGGTGCATTTAACAAGGTTCTTAGACTCTCTTTGTGGTGAACTAGAGAACTGATGAGGATTTATGATAGAAACGGATTAACTAAACATAGTAACAAGTACTAGGCCTGTAGAATAAATAAGAATTTTAAAAAAACATAGGGGTACAAGTAAACCTGGGGAAATCCGAATAAGATCATGAGAATGTATTAATGTCAGTATCCTGGTTGTGATATTGTATAATAATTTTGCAAGATATTATCATTAGGAGAAACTGGGAAAAGAGGAAACAGAATTTCTCTTCATTATTTCCTATAACTTGCATATAGATCCATGTTTCAAAATAAAATGTTTAATCTTTAAAAATAGGTTCCTTATTGAAGTGTAAGATGCCAATACCTACAACAGTGATAAATATTGTGGAATTAATTAATTAATGACATTGTCAGGTCATTATGTGTTAATTTAAGGTGCTATATTGAATGTTTGTGTCCCTCCAAAATTCATATGTTAAATCCTAAGGCCCAATGTGATATTTGGAGGTGGGGCCTTTGGTAGGGAATTAGGTCATGAAGAGCCCTTATGAGTGGGATTAGTGTCCTTATGAAAGAGGCCCCAGAGAACTCACTTGCCCCTTCTGCCATGTAAGCTACAGCAAGAAGACAGTTGTCTATGAACCAGGAAGCTTGCCCTCACCAGATACTGAGTCTTCTGGAGCTTTGTTCTTGGACTTCCCAGCCTTCAGAACTGTGAGAAACAGTTTTCCATTGTGTATAAGCCACCCAGTCTATGGTATTCTGTTATAGCAGGTTCAACAAACTAAGAAGTAGGTCACCCTATATCATTTCTTTTTATCTTCCTATTATAGTAGTCCCCCTTTATGTGTTAGGAATACATTCCAAGACCCTAGTGAATGCCTGAAATCAAGGATAGTACCAAACCCTATACATTCTTCTCTCAGTATCCTGGGGAGGGGACTGGTTCTAGGACCCCCCCACTGCAGATACCAAAATATAAAACAGCTCAAGTCTCTTATATAAAATGGCATATTATTTACATATAGCCTAGGGTACATCTTCCCAAATACTTGAAATAATCTCTAGATTACTTATAATACCTAATGCAAAGTAAATGCTATGTAAATTGTTGTTATACTGTATTATTTATTTGTATGATTTTTATTGCTGAATTTTTTTAAAAAATATTTTTTATTTGCAGTTGGTTGAATCTGCAGATGTAGGATCCACAGATACAAAGAGTTGACTGTTTATATTATGTTTTTTCCAATACACATATACCTACAGAAAGTTTAATTTAGGCACAATAAAAGATTAACAATAACTAATCATGAAACAGTACAATGATAACAACATCCTGTAATGAAATTCATTGCCTCTCTCGCTCTCTGAAAATATCTTATTCTGCTGTAGTCACTTGTTTTCAGACTGTGGTTGACTAAGGGTAACTGAAAACACAGGAAGCGAAACCATGGATAAGGGGGGCCACTGTTGTATCATTTCTGGGCTATTGTAATAGTATTTAACTTGGTCTTATTGTTCGCAATGTCCACTTTGCACAAGACTCCCAGACTTCTTTCCCTAAAACACAACTTCGATGACCCTTCCAATCTTAAAAAGCACCAATAATTCCTCATTGTGTACAGAATAAAATCAAGTAATTTTAATGTAGCATTCAGGGTTTCAATCTTACTAGGCCCCTACCTCAATATTCCTTATGAAATCTCCCCTCCAGACAAGTAAATTGACTTCCTGTTGCCAGTGTGTGCCTTAAGCTCACTTGCTTCTGTAAGCCATCTCTTTAGACACACCTGGACACGTTCCTCATCTTGACTCTTATCTGCTAAGTAACCTCAAGGAAGTCCCTTGTTCTCCTAGTCTTAGTTTATTCATCGGAAAAGTGAATATAATTAGAATGACTTCCACAGCTTTATGAAGAATGGGATAACATGTTCAAAATTTCTTACACAATGCCTGGTACATAATAGGATTTTGGTAAATAGTCATTTTCTTCCTACCTTTTACCTTACAACCAAACTAATTGGTGCCCTTTTCTACCCACTGTGGTCCTTTCACAATGTATTTTATACCTACCAGCCTCCAATAGATTGTCTAAATCACTTTCATCTTTAATACTCACTTATTTAGGAAAAAACTGTTAAGAGAAAACAATGATTTTTCTTAAAGCACTCCAGTCCCATCATCATTTGCAGTAAAGCTTTGTATGGCTCAGTCTCACATCCATACAACGTCAATCCATAAAGACAAAAGTTGTAACCCCTCACTGAATGGGCATCTGATGGGAACAGGAAACACATATTTGTGTGTTTATTAAAGCAGGTTATGTTTTCTGAATGAATAACATTGAATAAACACTGAGTGAGATGCTCAGCTTTCTAGTATTACCACTCAGCCTGCTTTAGGGCTATTTCAAAGATAATAAGGAGATATGACCTGCATAAATCTAAAGAACAGTTCGGACGTAAATGGTGCCTGAGTGAATGAAGGAATTGATGTCTCCTAGAGCAGAAGCTATAAATCTAGATAAGTAAAATAACATTCAATTGTCCTCTTACTAAAACAGGACAAAAAGACAGACAGTCCTCCTCCCTGTTCCCCTTTCCAGGCCACTAGTTCCCATACCTTCTCCTCTCCTGAGGGAAATGGACAAAGAAGTTGACTGTTGCCGATCCTTTCTCAACCTAGGCAACTTGCTTTTTCAGGAGGTGAGAGGCAAGAGGAGTGATGAGAGGCATGGAGGAACAAAGATGCCTGCAGGGAGGTTTATGTTTTTTTAAATGCCATTTAAAATGTCTGTAGCCCAGGGGCAGAAATATGAACTGTGCTTCTAGAAGGTGCATTTTGCAGGAAAATAATATTTGACCACGGGTTGAGAGGCAGGTTTTGTTACTGGCTTTGCTATTGACTGATTCCATGGCTCTAGATGTTTCACTTCTCTCTGGGTCTCAGTTTCTTCACTTGTAGAATCAGGGAATTGGACCGGGTCATCTCAAGGCCTTGTAGCAATGACTTTATCTGCCTTAAATCTTGGCCCCTTGAGTTGAGCTGTGTCATTTAAAGGGTCCATTCTATTTCATATGGGAAGAAAATAAAGAATTTCTCATAATCTTAGTAACAAATGTATTAGTTGAAATGAAAAGACTAAGACTAAAAAGAGATACACAGTAAAGGTGGAATAGATGTGGAGCAGAACAGAAAGGAATAAAATCAGTTAGACATTTATATATGAGGAATATGTGCTCCTCTCTGGAACCTCTTTGATGGGAATGTAAGACAGACAGAGGCACCCTGTTTGCTGGCTTGGAGAAGACTGGCTTTCCTCCTGAAGCATTAGAATGTGACTGGGGTGAGAGATGGCCCTGAGCCCGGGGGTGAATGAAGCAAAGTTCAACAGTGAGCAAAGAGGAACTAGGTAATTTTTCCCTCCTGTGCTACCCAGAAAAAAGTTGACTCTACAGACTGCTCGTGGTCTTGGTCACATTTTTTAATGTTTCTCCTCCAAGGAGGTATTTGGAAAAAGAAGATAAGTCATGTTTGATTCCTTTATGATAGTTGAGGCAGTGCTTGCTCAAAATTAACAAACTCCCCTTCCTTGCAAAGGATTTAATTTTATTGTCAGGTTTTTCTTCAAAACATCTTGGTGAGAACTGTGGGGAAAAGATTATTCAAAGAAACAGTGGATGGCAGTATTGGTTTGCTGCTCTAAAGCAGAAAGCAATGGAAAGTACAATTTTTTAAAGAAGAAAAGTAACATATACTCGATCTTCTGAAAGAGCTTCACACAGACATGAGTCTAAAATCATGAAAAGTTCATATTTGCAGTTTCAAAACCAAATAAGGGAACTATGTCAGATGATTTGAGAATATTGCATTAAAAAATGTAAAGAAGGGAAAATGTTGACCTAGAAGAAACAATGGCCTCTTTTAATTCGGTTTTACATATCATCTTCACACAGGTAAGTGTTGGTTAACATACAAAAATAGCCAGTCAAGAGACTACAACCAAAGTAAATGGCATTCTAAAGCATAATAGCAATTGCATGTCTTTTGTAGAGGTGGAAGATTTTAGATTAAAAGGGAGGTGAAGATAGAGAGGGAAGAAGGATGGGATACATACAGTCAACTAATTATGAATGTCATTTTTAGCTATGAATATACATGTTTCACTACTTAAATAGCACTTATCACCTTAAAAATTGCAGGTCATTTTTGCCTAATTATTCCCCTTTTTGTGTCCCTCACATCTCCCTTGGTATACTGATTCAAAGAGTGACTTATTTGTACATGTTATCCCCCATTAATTCAATAGATATTTTTGAGCATATATGAAATGCAAAGTACTAGGGATACAGAGACCCTGGCTAGGGAAATAGACACGTAAGTAAAAAAACGTCATACAGTGTGGTTAAGTGATAACTAGATAGTTTCTTCAATTGTCTCAGAATGGTGGGGTGAAAGTACAGTTTTTTGTCTTTATCATTGCTCCTCGCACTGTGTCAAGTTTCCCTATCTCGTGGACCTATGCTAAATCACATCTTGGGCAGATTTCAAAATCTCCCAAGCACTTCCAGTTATTAAAGTTACAATTCTTCATTTTCAGTTTAAAACTTCTTTTTTTCTACCACATTTAAAGAGATCCACTGCAGCCCAGCTGTATGGCTGCAGAGACCTGAAGAAGGAAAGCTTAAGTCCCCTTTTTGATCTTGTTTCTGGGGCTATGATATGCTCAGAGACACAGCTCCACCCACAGACACATCCTGCACCTTCCCTTTTCAAGGCCTAATTCTATATACATCTCTTGGGGCTGCTGGTCTCTGTTCCTCTGGCTGTTGTGAATCTCTGTGTACAGACACCAAACAGCTCCATCTCAATGTCTTCCAAATCTTTTAGCTCCTGCCCCCATCAAATTATCACAGTCCCTTTGTGAGTCATTTGCTCCAGCCTCCGGGCCTCTGTGATGCCCCTTGACCCAAAGAGAACTCATGCACTTTCGTGATGGCTGCTCTGCCACTCTTCTTTTGCTCTGTGCTGTCATCTCTTTCTCTCAAATTACTTTTGCTCTGCCCAGGTAGATGCAGGGCAAATGAACAAGTCAGCTGCCTGGCCAAATGACCAGCTGAGAAAAGAGATGCCAACATCCCTCCCACAAGCATCTTCAATCTTTTGGAACTCCCTTTACACAGCTTAACTCTATAAAGTTTACATCTCTGGAAGTGAGGGAAGGATATGAATTGAAATGGGAATGTACAAGCCAAGGCTGTGGCAATGGGGATGCTGACCCATTGGAAGATGAATAGGAAAGGAGAGGCTGAGGGTGCTGCCAAAATTTCTAGCAGCAAAGACTGTGGATAATGATATTATTATCTAAGAAAAAAAGAAATGTTGGGGTAGTCTGAAAAAATTAAAAAGAAAATGAGCTGTTTTCTTCTGCTTTCACACCACAAAAATCATCACAAAAGACTTCTGAATGCAGGGGTTTCTCCCCATATACCAAGCAAGCCATCAGTTCTGCAGCACACCCAGCTGGTTGTCCTCCAATTCAATTCCAACACTATCTACCTGGAGATAGTGTCAGATCCCATAGGTTGAGGGCTCAGTCCTGCAAGACTGTCCTCTACCTCACTTCCTACCAGTTGCATGTACCAGTTGCATTCTCCAGAACTGACTGACCTACTTCAAGTTGAGGTTCCCATGACCCCATCTTGGGGTTCAATTAATTTGCTAGAGCAGCTCACAGAACTCAGGAAAAACACTTATGTTTACTGGCTTATTACAAAGTATACACATGAAGAGATGCATGGGGTGAGGTATGAGAGAAGGGACACAGAGCTTTTATGCACCTGGGCACACCACACTCCAGGACCTTTTATGGAGACCTCATTGGATAGGCATGACTGACCACTGCATAGAAATGATTGAACAAAAAGGGTATGATCTAATGTTCATAGGCTGAGTGGGGAAACCCAGCAAGTTCTGTCCAGATTCTTCTTGGCCTCTCTATGCAGCATTTCTTCCTCTGGGGCATGGGAAGGACCCTTTCTGAAATGAGGGTCTTATTACTCACAATCAGAAAGTCAGAGAAAGATTAGAGTCCTGCTTTGGGCAAGCAAAAGGAGGGCAGCAAAAGTTTAGAGAGAGAGAGGTTATGTTTTCGAAGGCCTCCTTCTGGGGCCTAAAGTGCCCCCAACATTACAACAGACTGCAACAAGGGCTATGGAAGTTATGAGCCAGGAACCGTGGATGAAAACCAATATATATAACCATATGTCATGGGAGGGAAGGGAATACATTTAGTTCTGGACATAAGGTAGTGGACATCCAGACATAAATGGACTAAATGGAATGTTATTTAAACCTAAGAAATAAATAAGAATTACAATGTAAGTTGGAAGAGATTCCAAATCTGAATAGAGAATTTAGGCCTTGATGAATATGCAATAAAGAAAATGCAAAAAGAATAGGGTGAGCAGAATGCTGATTTCAGAAAGATCTTCTCAGGATGACCATGGACAAAATGGAACATTATGAGATCAAGCAAACAAGATCAAAGTCTAACATAAGGCATTCCAAACTTGGAGAGATCAGGAAACAAAAAATTTTTAAATGTGTTTTCAATTTAGCAGTCCAAAAATAATAGGAGAAAAAAATAGGGTCAAACAATAAAAGAAGTAAGAAAAGGATTAATTCCAAAATCGCTCATATTCAGACTTTTTAAAATTCACTTTAAAAAAGGCAACAAACACAAGAATGGGCAATCAGAAAATGGTAAGGACTACACAAAATTAGCTTCGAGTAACCACGAGCTCATCTGAAAGCTTGGGAAATGCTTACGAAAATACACAACTCATAGATTACTAGCAGTTAAGAAAATTTGAGATTTGAAAGTATTTACAAATTGAACTCAATCTCTTCAACATCAAACTCACATCCCAGGCAATGTAAATGAATTGCATAGCTAGCGAGGAGCAGAGGCACAGGAGAAGCCAAATGTCCCATGCCCAGGACCAGCTCTCCTCCACTACCATCAGCGTCACTTTTACTAACCAATTTAAAATGCCACTGAAAGTGGCTCTTGGAAAGTCATTAGGTGTCTTTGAGAAGAATGGGTGACACGGCCTTCTTTTGAAAGAAAATGTGAAATCATCTAGGTAATCTTCCCCACCATACCCACCCTGGATTCCCATGACATTAGTAATCCCTCAACATTTTCACCCATCGGCTGACTCAATTATATGGAGAAACACATTAAAGACTACAGTCCTTTGGAGTACATACAGACACCTTTTGAAAGCTTGGTTTGTACATTATGACCAGTATCTATTCCTACTATTTCTGAGAAAAATGAAGAGTTTTAATAATACGTAAATAACCAGTAGATGCAGTCATATTTTCCCTGTCTGTATCAGGATTATTTAATAAAAGAGAGAACTTTCTGTAATTCTTGATGAGACTGTGACATGGAAAGGAAGGTAGCAGCTATGGTCTGGGACCTTAAGATCACTACATATTCTGGCAAGAATCTGCCGTCTTTAAATATCAAATAAAAGAATAAAATATTTAAGAATGCTGTAAGTGGCTGCCTCCCATGGTTTTTTTTAATGTCTATTCGATAATTCAATTCCACGATGTAAATAGCTGGCAGCAGCAGTGTTGTGTGCTAAATATCTCATTACAAAATGCTAGAAAACTAGAGAATTACTGACAATTAAGGGTTGGTACACACAAGTGGCCAAAATTGCAGTTTACAAAAGAATGATAATTGCTCAAGAAGATAGAATTGATGCATATAATTGGATTTGGTCATTTTACTTTTATCATGAGTTTGCATTACCTCAAATGGATGAATGCAGTTGCTATATGAATTAACATGCACCATTTCTATCCCAGCTTTCCTTTCTACACTATTGCCCCCTAACCCTCAGCCACAACTACACTCAGAGTTTTTACTTTCTATTTTGATTTCTGTATCAGTGCTTTCTTTTCTTTGTGCATTCTGGGATAGCACTGGCAATCTAGTTAGACAGCAAATTTCAAAATGCAATAAAGTTACAAATATTTGAATTAACATATGTAATGGAACATGATTGATTGATTGTATTCAATTACTGGTGAATTGCAAAAACAAATTTCAAAGTGTAGTGTGAGGACCACAGGTTATATTAATGTTTGTAGTATTTGCAATGCTCACCCTATTATGAGTGTCACCAGTAAAATATTGCACTATTCATTCGATTCAAAAGCACCATTGTTCTTAATACTTATTCTGGTGAGTAGACTCATGATTTTCAAGAAGAGACATAAATAAATTTGTTCATATGGCAAATTTAAGGGTTGTGATAGTATACTACTGCAGAGGTTTAACAAAACAAAAATTGTTGAAGAAGGCAAAGAATATCAGGACAAGACAATGATTGATCTTTCAAAAAAGTTGATCCTCATAATTTTTTCTTGCTTCCATTTCCTACCAAGATGAAAAAGTTTCAATGTTAAGACTGTTAGGGAAACAAAGAATCCTTACTCAAACATACTTGCCAATTTGCATAACTGGTTTTATGTTAGTCTGTTTTCATACTGCTGATAAAGGCATACCTGAGACTGGGCAATTTACAAAAGAAAGACGTTTATTGGCCTTACAGTTCCACATGGCTGAGGAGGCCTCACAATCATGGTAGAATGCAAGGAGGAGCAAGTCACATCTTAACGTGCGTGGCAGCAGGCAAAGAGAGGGTGTGTGCAGAGAAACTCCTGTTTTTAAAAACATCAGATCTTGTAAGACCCATTCACTATCAAGAGAACAGCATGGGAAAGACCTGCCCCCATGATTCAATTATCTCCCACCGGGTGCCTCTCACAACATGTGAGAATTATGGAAGCTACAAGATGAGATTTGGGTGGGGACACAGAGCCAAACCATATCAGGTTTCATGTACTGAAATCAGTTCTACACATTTCTGACAATTGCAGACATTTTTTTCATTATATATATAACTTTGGACATTTAGGAGACAATTGAAACTTGGGTGGCTGAGGTGGGCTGACCCCAAGTGATGGTTAAAATTTGTGTATCAACTTAACTGAATGCCCAAAGAACTGTTAAACTTGATTTCTGGGCATGTTCATAAGAGTGTTTCTAGAAAAGATTAGCATTTGAACTGGTAGACTGAATAAAGAAGACTGTCCTCACCAATACAGCTGGACATTATCCAATCCACTGAGGGCCTGAACAAAATGCAGAGGAAGGGCAAGTTTGCTCTCTGAGCTAATGCATTCATCCTCTCTTGCCCTTAGACATTGGCTCTCCAGGTTCTTGGGCCTTTGGGTTTGGTCTAAAACTCTACCATCCACTTTCCTGGGCATCCAACTTGCAGATGGCACATTGTGGGACTTCTCAGCCTCCAGAATCACATGAGCCAGTTCCTAATAATAAATATCTTTGGGTGTATATATACATATATGTCTGTGTATGTGTGTGTCTATGTGTGTGTGTGTGTACAAAAGCACACATACACACAAAAAGATATACGTGTGTATATATACATATACACATATACACAAACATACACACACACATATATATCCCATTGGTTCTTTCTCGAGAGAACCCTAACTAATACAAGCCACCCCCAACAACACTGTAATTATCTATATAATTATCTACATAAATAACATTTTGTTTAAAGGTATTTTCTGTATACTTGAAGTCTTTTTATCTTCAAAATGTTTTAAAATTTGAACTTTCCCACAAAGGATAAAACTTCAATCTCTTAAAAGCCAGCTCCAAATACAGGTAAAAAAAAGAAACTGCTGAGAAGGAGGAAAGAATGCTGAAAGATATCAAGCGGGTGGGAGGTTGTTGGCTTGGGATTTGGGATAGCATTAAGCGGACCTCCTCTGGGTCTCTTGTCCTTTGCAAACACTGATTTCAGCGTTCTAAGACCTCGCTCCTAAGTAAAGGGCATTTTATCCTCCAAACTGCTGTTAAAGACTTTGTTCTTACCTTTTCTCCTCACACCCTCACCTGTCTTCCATCACTCCTTTTATTCCAGCAGCACCACCAGTCTTCTTACCTAGAAGTAAAAGAAAATCAATTTCGAATACTATCTTTGTCATTTCAGTCCAAGGTTCTATTAACACAAAATAATGACAATTTAAGTCATTTATTGTGTGTTTTTTTGTTTTGTTTTGTTTTGTTTTTGAGACGGAGTCTCGCTCTGTCGCCCAGGCTGGAGTGCAGTGGCGCATCTTAGCTAACTGCAAGCTCCCTCTCCCGGGTTCACCCGAGTTCACGCCATTCTCCTGCCTCAGCCTCCTGCGTAGCTGGGACTACAGGTGCCCGCCACCACGCCCAGCTATTTTTTTTTTTTCTTCTAGTAGAGACGGGTTTCACCGTGTTAGCCAGGATGGTCTCGATCTCCTGACCTCGTGATGCACCCGCCTCGGCCTCCCAAAGTGCTGGGATTACAGGCGTGAGCCACTGCGCCCGGCCATTTATTGTTTTATTGTAAGCCTGTGCACCCAAAGACAGTGTTAGTTCTTCCGTTTTCCATTAAGTGTATTGTATTTTTGTTGTGATCATTTTTGTAATTTAAATATAATTGAAATAGTTACAAAGCTTGTGAAAAATAGCAGCTCAAAGGCAAATAACATGTAATTCTCATTCTATTTGGCAAACCCAGCATCATCATGAAAAGTTGCACTTTTTGCACAACAAAGGTCACTTGAAATTTACACCAAAAATTCAAAGTCTTTGAATATTCAAAAGGAAGAGATGTAACAAATGGTTAACATTAGAAAGCTCTCAGTATCTGATTTTCAGGAGTATGTTGTCTTAGGCTACAATGTGAGACATTCAGTGTTTACACTTTCTTCATACAACTTATAAGAGCATAATTAAAACACTCACTTCACAGCTCTACCTTCCACCAAAAAAATCAGTTTGATATAAGAAAAATAAATACCTTTGACTGGAGGAATTCAATCATAATGAAATCATAAAGGACTAAATGTAGCTTGAATGGGTGGACATTAAGGGAGTGTATGAGAAGGCAACTAGTTTTTAAAAGAAATAAACACATAAGAAATGTAGCAGAGGGTGAATAATTGGGAATAATTGAATGAAATCGAGCAAGAGAATATTAAGTTGTATATTAAGAAGTATTTCCTAACACTGAGGTTTGTTGGAGTCTGGGAAAATTACCCTTTCAAAGGAAATGGTGGAAACTCTTTTTCTTACCTCATTTAAACTAGATTGGCTCAAGCTTCCCTCTGTGGGTATAGGCCTATTTGGACAACTGTAGGTAGATGATTCTAATAAATTGTTTTTACTCCTGATTTCTATGAACCAAACATTTTAAGTCATCTGGTCCTTGATTCTGAAAATAAGTTATTCCCCTTCTAACCCTCTATCTCCTTTTTCTCCTACCATTTCTTTGACCTACTTTTAAAACAAACATCAGGAAAATGTACTATATCATTCTTTTGACAGAGTAAAATGAACTGAGTAAATAAGAGTATTTAAATGTGGTCCAGTTGTAGTTTGGAATATTCTTGGAATGGAAATTTGTATCTATTAAATAAGAACTAGCTGTTTGAGCCTTGTTAAGAAAATGTTTACTATGATTATTGTAACTCTAAAGTAATACAGAATTCAGTTCTAATTACAAAAGTGTTCTATTCAACCAACCACTCAGAACACCCTCCATTCAAATGCTCTTGTTATTCCATAAAATTTATGGTAAAACCTCAATTTTTATTTCACATATGTAGTAAAAAATATATTTATACAATTATACTTATAAATAATATGAATACATAAAATATATTTTTATTTTCTATAAGTACTATATATTATTTTACAATAATATATAACAATTTCCACATTTAATAAGCTAAAATTCTGTAAGTATAGTTGTTACAACAAATAGCATTATTTCCTTGGATTTATTAAAATTACATAGCTTTTCTATATAAACAATAAGAAGTTTCCAGAGACACAAGTTGGGAAATTTATTTGTTTGTAGTAGATGACAAATTTTGTATATTGAAATATAAATAGCAAGTAGAATTTTCACATTTTTCCTTCAACTTAAATGCCTGTGCTATGGTATATAGGAAAAGGAGATTTCTCAAATATGAGTCAGAAAAGGTTACCTTATTTTTTCCCCAGGTAAGACTAGTGATTTTGATGGGGTCAAAATTACCAAAAATGATTTAGGATGTAGAATGAAGGGCCACATCTTGTAACCAAACAATAATTGACTGAAGTTTCTCATCTATTCACATCGCTGTTGGAGAAGCTGTTTGGGAAACCCCTTTCCATATCTTCTTGTTGACCAGTTTGAACCAAGAACATTATTTGATCATTCTAGGCAAAGAGCAGTCTTGTTTCCATAAATGTTGTTTATAGAGCCGAGTACAATGGTGCAATTGGCCTCCTCCTTATAATGAATGAAACACTTGGTAATCTTGGGGGTTTCTAATCTGTTTATCAGATGGACTGATGAGCTGGATTTATTTAATTGTTATCACCAAGCTGACCTATGTCATAATCACAGATAATGTTTCAATGAACAAAAGTACCATCTGTCTCAGGTTTTTCTTTTCTATGAAAAGAGAAATTTATGTTCAAACATCCCACTTTTCCCACTTTTTAAATGTAAATATGTCAGAGATATATTAAAATGGCATTCAATATAGACTACTATTTTTAAAACAAAGTTGTCATTTGACTCCTGGTGAATTGCTCATAAATTCAGGACTGAATAAAGAGATCAGATTACATTAAATGCATTTTGGTATCTATAACTTTCTGCAATGAATTAAAACCGGCTGATCGTGTCTCCAGTGCATTTCATTTTCCGTTGATTCATGTACTGTAATATAACCTTCAAAATTCCCTTATGCCAACAAACTCACTGAGATATGCTGAGTGCAGGAGGAGATTAAAGTGGCTATAAGATTGAAAACTGTATGAAGGCATCAGATAATGCAGTAGAGGTATAATGAAAGTGTAAACAAAGCTGGCAAATGTAGAAATTACTGTTCATATAATCCACTGTTGAATTCAATGGAGAGTTTAGCTCACTGCCAAATATATATTAATATCCAACAAATTGGCAAGATCAATACACCAAGCCCGTTTCATTCTTATTAAAGTATTTTTTCTCTTTGAGGTTAAGCATAAGTAAGGCATGCCATTCTTCCTTGGAAAACGTAATATTTCCCCAATAGGAATTTAGCATTCAGGTATACGCAGACTCCTAACTCTGAGACACTCACATCAGAAGATTTTCTGCCACTCTTTAAAATTGAAGTTACTTATAGAAACAACCTCTCATATTTTCCTGAGCAGTAGCTTTTTGTTTCTGCGTTGTGAAAGCCAAACCATCCCTTAAAGTCTCTTTAAACTGGCCAAAAAAAAAGGCATTATTACTGTGCTAGGAGTCTCTATTGTTTCGGTAGTAGCTAGAGCTATGGATGAATGCTTTCAACAGAAGTTAAAAGAGATAATGAGTCTTTAATGATACAAAATCAGAGCCTTGTGTGCCTAGTGAAGCCTGACACAAGCTCCAGCTTGCAGCTAGCAAGGAGAGCTCATCCACTATCTGTTTTATAGGCCAAAAATACCCACAAAGTGCCTTATTGGAAAATTATGTATCCCTTAAGATAGGATCAGTGGTATTTGTCTGTTAGGTTAAACTCTTCTGAGATGCAAAACAAAATAGGAAGGTAAGCCTATATTCTTTTCCCCTCCATATATCTCTTTGAAAGTTTAAGGTGAATACATCTCTACCCTCAAAGCAGCAGTTTCTATTTTATTCCAGAGTTTTTCAGTATCAATTTCCGTTTGTGTGCATATGATTCTCTTTTCTCTACCAAAAATGCAAACAAGAAACTCCAATGTCACCTGCCCGCACATACTTTCTGTTATGCTGACCAGAGAGTAGATTCCTTGGCTCAGTCGAAAGAGATTTTTCCCCGTCAAGTATTAGGAAACTGGTTTGAATCTCAACTCTGTAAATGTGTTAAGTAGCAGCCAAAAACTTCTGGAGATCAGTCAGGGGAAATCTCCTCTGTGAGCACAAGCCAGGCTCCTTGATGTTAAATCAGATTTGCTTCTGAAAGGATTGGCATGTTTGATATGATTAGGAAGTGTCAGTTGTGCTGATTATAAATTAAAAAAAAAACAAATTGATCTGGAAAATAAGAAACATAAGGCCACATTGCTGTGCTCTACTTTTTGCAATGATGCTTTAAAAGTGATGGAAATGGGAATTATTTATTGTAGGAATACTAACTAGGTTATTGTATAAGGATTTGCGTGTTATCATCACTGTATTAAGGTGCCAAAATCAGTTACAGGAGTGAAGAGAGAAAAACATCAACATAACTTGACTTGGTGTGTATTTAGTATGCATTTTTCTTTTATTTTCAAAAATGATTAATGAGTGTGAGTGAATTTGGGGTCTTGGAGGAAGATCAAATTAGGTAGGCAAATAGCCCATAATTTGTTGAAAGGAATGAAATTATCTGTTTTTTTTTTTTTTAAGAAAATGTGTTGTATTTTTGCCTCTCTTCTCATTTATTGTCCCTCATTCCTATTCCAGCCATTTACTTTCTCTCTTTTGGACACAGTGGTGCCAGTGAGGGCTAATCATTAAAGTTGCCACTAGAGAAAGCAGATGTGGGGAATGTTTAGAAGAGCTAGAAGATAGGGGTGCCAGGCGTGTTCACTCATGCCTGTAATCCCAGCACTTTGGGAGACTGATGTGGGTGGATCACTTGAGGGCAGGAGTTCAAGACCAGTGTGGCCAACATGGAGAAACCCCATCTCTACTAAAAATACAAAAATTAGCAGGCCCTGGTGTGTGATGTTCCCCTCCCTGTGTCCATGTGTTCTCATTCTTCAACTCCCACTTATGAGTGAGAACATGTGGTGTTTGGTTTTCTGTTCTTGTGTTAGTTTGCTGAGAATGATGGTTTCCAGCTTCATCCATGCCTCTGCAAAGGACATGAACTCATCCTTTTTATGGCTGCATAGTATTCTGTGGTGTATAAGTGCCATATTTTCTTTATCCAGTCTATCATTGATGGGCATTTGGGTTGGTTGCAAGTCTTCGCTATTGTGAATAGTGCTGCAATAAACATATGTGTGCACGTGCCTTTATAGTAGAATGATTTATAATCCTTTGGGTATATACCCAGTAATGGGATTGCTGGGTTAAATGGTATTTCTGGTTCTAGATCCTTAAGGAATTGCCACACTCTCTTCCACAATGGTTAAACTAATTTACACTTCCACCAACAGTGTAAGAGTGTTCCTATTTCTCCACATCCTCTCCAGTATCTGTTGTTTCCTGACTTTTTAATGATCACCGTTCTAACGGGCATGAGTTAGCATCTCATTGTGGTTTTGATTTGCATTTCTCTAATGACCAGTGGTGATGAGCTTTTTTTCATATGTTTTTGGCCACATAAATGTCTTCTTTTGAGAAGTGTCTGTTCGTATCCTTTGCCCACTTTTTGATGGGGTTGTTTGTTTTTTCTTGTAAATTTGCTTACGTTCTTTGTAGATTCTGGACATTAGCCCTTTGTCAGATGGATAGATTGCAAAAATTTTCTCCCATTCTGCAGGTTGCCTGTCCACTCTGATGATAGTTTCTTTTGCTGTGTAGGAGCTCTTTTGTTTAATTAGATCCCATTTGTCAATTTTGGCTTTTGTTGCCATTGCTTTTGGTGTTTTAGTCACGAAGTCATTGCCCATGCCTATGTCCAGAATGGTATTGCCTAGGTTTTCTTCTAGGGTTTTTATGGTTTTAGGTCTTACATTTAAGTCTTTAATCTATCTCAAGTTATTTTTTGTGTAAGGTATAAGGAAGGGGTCCAGTTTCAGTTTTCTGCATATAGCTAGCCCGTTTCCAAACACCACTTATTAAATAGGGAATCCTTTCCCCATTGCTTGTTTTTGTCAGGTTTGTCAAAGATCAGATGGTTGTAGATGTGTGGTGTTATTTCTGAGCCATAAATTTTAAAATTGAGATGATGGTTGGTCATTTTGTCATTCTATTTAGATACTTTCACTGTTATTGAGAGTGGCAGGAGGCAGCCAGATGCCTAGGCAGATAGGAACATCCCCAGAGAAACCCCACCTTCAAGCCAAAAACAGCCTGAATGCTGAAAGAGACCAGACTGCTGGTCCCAGATGAAACCTGCCACCCAGAGTGAGAACTTCTGTTACTGTTTGCCCACCCTTTCCCAGTTGATTCTTTCTGAATAATGCCTTCTAACCAATTGAATGTTGCCTTTTTCAATATTAACTATGGGCTACCCCTCCCCCATTCTGAGCCCATAAAAAGCCATGCACTCAGCCATGTTAAGGAGACTTTTACACCTTGAGGTAGGGGGACCACCCCTGCATCCTCTCTCCATGGAAAGCTGTTTCATCACCCAATAGAATTCTCCACCTTGCTCATGCTTTGATTGTCAGTGCATCCTCATTCTTCTTGGGCGTGGGACAAGAACTTGGGAGCCAGTGCACAGGCCAGACTCAGACCAGGTGGGCCAAGTGGGTGGCTATCTCCTGCAGCAGGCA
This sequence comes from Homo sapiens, assembly GCF_000001405.40. Lineage (NCBI taxonomy): Eukaryota > Metazoa > Chordata > Mammalia > Primates > Hominidae > Homo > Homo sapiens. Next base: position 36,222,286 of record NC_000015.10, read on the forward strand.
GCATGGCTGAGTGAGGCCCAGGTGAGGCATTGCCAGCCAGAGGTCCCTGGCTTGCAGTGACTGAGAAGAAAATCCTGTGTCATTATGATTTTTCTTTATGTTACATTGTTAATAATGCAAAGAATATACAGGATATATTGATTCATATAATTTCCAATTGTTTGTAGTAAATAGAGTTATGTTGAAATATTGCAAATCATTCTGTATTATACTTAATAACAGCAATAAAATTTTAAAAGTTAATCAACAATTCAGTAAAATACATAATGAGACTTAAAATGCTCTTTGTTCAAGAATTAGACCATAACTTCCAGCAGAATTGCAGATTTGTTTCATTACCTGAATGTCAGTTTGACACACAATAAAAACTGTTGGTTTCATTGGATTACATAGAGAAGCAAACAAACTGATGAAAGATAAAAGAGAATAACACTTTCTATCAAAGCAAATAATTTAAAACTATTTTTGCTTTGCTTTTCTACCACCAAATTTGATAATATATCCGTTTTAGTATTTTTGAGCAGTATGGATCCTATACTGCTCCTGTTTTCCTTCCTGTTTAACTAACATTTTTAAAAGCTTATATGTGCACTTTTACTAGAATATTATTTTTATCTTCATAATCCATTGCTAAATAAATAAAGGCACTTTTCTCTATAATCCAATGCCTTAATTTATAGTATTAATAAATTTTCTAGTAGATAAAATGAATATATATACACTTGTGTCTGTGTAATCAGAACTTGATTATTAATCAACATCAAAAAATGTTAATAAAGTGTACATTTAAAAGAGAACAGGCAATATCATTCTCATACACAAAATATGTATTTTTTCCTACTACAGTATATATCAGGTGCTTGTTCTGCTCTAAGAAAAAGATAAAAATGAATACTAAGTTCTTATTTTAAAGTTAACGCTATAATATATTGTTATATTAAGGAAGGAAGTGGCAGTAATAGCAGACTTTACTAAGGCCTTGGTAGCAGTAGCACTTGATCTTGAGTCCTCATTTTGACACCTACTATTTTTCTGACTTTTCTTTTGCTTCTTCGTTTATCAATTCTAAAAATTTAACCTTGGGATCCAGGCTGGGTGGACCAGCAAATGAACTCAGGAGAACTGTTATGGATCAGAACAGGGGAGAGTTGGGAAACTGGTGGTTCCCATAATGACAAAGAGCAATTGTAATTTAAAAAAAGGGATAAATTAGCCAAAAATTAAACATATATTAGCTTTTATTTTTTACTTTGTAGGCTCAATGCATCAATATTTGCATGTATATGAGTATCACATATTTTTAAAAACTTAAAAACTTTTAAAAACTGAGAGAATATATTGATTTATTCATTAAAGTTTCCCTTAAATGATTGTCCTCTTACATCTTAATTTCCGTGTCCTTCATCTCTAACTATAGTTGATTATCAAAGAGCACATGCTTCATACTCTACTGAAGGAACAACACAAGACAGAAGTAGTGGTATTTAGCATTCTTTAACATTTCATTGTTTTGAATTAATGTTCCATTACCTGAGACATCTTAGCACACATTTTATACCTGACCTCTATATAATGAAACATTCAATTGTAATGGAAATTTCTTCTTCTGCAGACTTTACAAAGAACATCCACACCAAAGCTGAACCAAAGACAAAATTATTACACGCTGGTATCCTGAAAACATCTACTATATCATAAGGTAGCCATTTCCAATGAAAACATTTGTCTTGTCAGAGAGCACCTAATAATACCCAGTAAAGATTATATGATAAGCAAGTGTCCTAGTTTTCCATTCAGAAAGGGAATTTACATGGAATAGATTTAATGTTTTAGTTATGATTAGACACTTTCTTTAATACTTAAACTTGGCACACAATTTCTTTATCTAATCTATTTTCATTTTAAAAATACATACACGAGGTTTCAATTTCACACAGTGAGTGTTCCTATGAGTTTATTTTAATAGTATAATCCATCGTAATTTTAAATAATTTTCCGTTTGCTATAATTTTCATTATTTTGGCTTTATTAAACATCTTTGTTCTGCTCCTTCTAGCATCCTGTAATGATACCTGATTATCCTTGATGTAAAATAATATTGTGCTGATAAATAACCATATTATTTTTCAGATTGTTTTAGTAGCAAGAAACAGAAATTCAATTAGAACCAACTAAAGCAAAAAGTACGAAAGTCACCAAATCAAGGGAAGGGCAGGGAAATATCAATACAGTCTGGCTCTCTGTTGCCTCTCATTCCCTCTGTGAATCAGCGTTAATCTCTTTTAGTCACTGGTATGATTATCTGAGCCCAGAATATAACTGTTTTATATAAAAATAAAGTATGGTTGTGCTTTAAATATATGTTGATATATTCCAGGAATAAGCATGCTTTCTTTTATTCACAATTTTACCCAGAATTATTAACTATTTTAAAAATATTGCATCAGTAAAACAATTTGTGGTATTTGAGTCACAAATACAATAACATATCAGTCTGAATTGGAAACTGTCATATTTATAATTTTAAAGGTAAATAAAAATTATGACTTTAGATAGCAGAAATAAATCTTAACATAATAGTAATTGTAATGCACTTAAATGGATTAAACTCACCAATTAAAGCAGATTCTCCAGTTAGATCAACAAAACAACCAAGATCTAGCAATAGTTTCCCACAAAGGGGCTATACAAAGTACATGCAGATTAGTAACTGTCTGTAACCTATTTGTTACTAATCTGTGACAAAATAACTGTAGAAATTGAGTTAGAATGTGTTAAATGTTACAGAAATTTGACAAAGTAATTCCATGTCTGTCTAAGCTAATAATAACAAGTAGGCTTGTATTTTGAATGGCTTTACTTATTTTCTTTTTTAGAAAACATACTTATTGCATTTTACCAAAGGAAGATACAGAAATAGAATAGAAAATTTAGAAAACCTGGATTTTCCCCCAGTTGGTTTGAGAAGCACTGGTCTTTAAGGTACACACTTAAAGAATATCAAAAAGTTGACAACTTAAGACTGAAAATAATGTGTCGGGCAAACATAAGTCAACAGAAAGTTGGAGTAGTGAATATTTCTCACAAAATAGAATTCAAGGCAAAAAGGTATCATAAAGCACAAAATATGTTACTTACTGGTCAAAGAAACAATGGAGTAAAAGTAACATACCTGCACCTCACAATATTGTTTTAGACTATGTAACGCAGTAATCTTATTTACAATAGCCACACTGCAAAAACCCTAGCAATACATCTAACCAAGATCTCTACAAGGGAAACTACAAAACACTGTTGAAAGAAATCATAGATAACCCAAACAAATGGAAAAAATATTCCATGCTCATGGATTGGAAGAATCAATGGCATTAAAACAGGTATAGTGCCCAAAGCAATCTACAAATTCAATGCTATCCCTATCAAACTACCATCATTTTTCACAGCATTAGGAAAAGTTATTCTAAAATTCATATGGAACCAAAAAAGGAGCCAGAATAGCCAAGGCATGCCTAAGCAAAAACAACAAAGCCCCAGGCATCATGTTACCCAACTTTAAACTATACTATAAGGCTAAAGTAATGAAAACAGCATGGCACTGTACAAAAACAGACACATAGACCAATGGAACAGAATAGAGAACGCAGAAATAAAGCTGCACACCCACAGACAACTTATCTTCAATAAAGTCAACAAAAATAAGCAATAGGGAAAGAACTTCCTATTCAAAACATGGTGCTGGGATAGCTGGTTAGCCATGTGCAGAAGAATAAAACTGGACCACTATCTTTCACAATATACAGAAATTAACTCAAGATGAACTAAAGATTTAAATGTAAGACCTCAAACTATATGGATCCTAAAAGAAAACCTATGATGCACCATTCTGGATATTGGCTTTAGGAAAGAATTTATGACTAAGTCCTCAAAAGCAATTGCAACAAAAACAAAAATTGACAAGTGAGACCAAACGGCTTTCTGCACAGCAAAAGAAACTATCAGCAGAGGAAGCAGACAACCTACAGAATGGGAGAAAATATTTATGAACTATGCATCCAACAAAGGTCTAATATCCAAAACCTATAAGGAACTTAATTCAACAGCAAAAGACAAGTAAGTCCATTAAAAAGAGGGCAAAAGACATGACTGAACACTTCTCAAAAGAAGACACACAAGCTGCCAACAAACATAGGAAAATGCTCAGCCTCATTAACCGTTAGAGAAATGCAAATCAAAACCATCTCACACAAGTCGGATTAGCTATTACTAAAAATTCAAAAAACAATAGATCCTGGCAAGGCTGTGGAGAAGAGAAATGCTTATACACTCTTGGTGAGAATGTAATTAGCTCAGCCACTGGGGAAAGCAGTTTGGAGATATCACAAAGAACTTAAAACAGAACTACTACTCAACCCAACAATCCCATTACTGGGTATATGTCCAAAAGAAAATAAATCTTTCTGCCAAAAACACAAATGTACTTGTATGTTCATCGCAGCACTATTCGCAATAGCAAAGACATGGAATCAACCAATGTGCTCATCAACAGTGAGTTGGATAAAGAAAATGTGGGACATATACACCATGGAATACTGCATAGCCACAAAAAAGAACAAAATCACATCTTTTGCAGCAACATGGGTGTAGCTGTAGGCCATTATCCTAAGTGAATTAATGCAGGAACAGAAAACCAAATACCACAAGTTCTCACTTGTAAGTGGGAGCTAAGCAACGGGCGCACATAGATATAAAGGTGGCAACAGTAAACACTCGGGATACCAGAGGGCAGAGGGAGGGAGGAGAGCAAGGGTTGAAAACCTAACTATTGGGTACTATACTCACCATATGGGTGACAGGATCATTCATACCCCAAACCTCAGCATCACACAACATACCCAGGTAACAAACCTGCACATGTACCTCCTGAATCTAAAATAAAAGTTGAAATTACCAAAGAAAAAATTAAAAACAAAATAAATTAACAGAGAGACAAAAAGAATATGTAAATTTAAAAAATTATATACACGCAAATCAATAATTGTTATTGTTGATTTTAATGTATCCCTCTCAGAAAAAAATAGATAAATCCAAGAAAATACTAGGTGGGATATACACCACCTAAATAATTCAATTAATAACTTCAAAATACTATTTATTAAAATATTTTTACTTAAAAATATAGAATACACATTTTATTTTTGAGCAAACACAAAACATTACAAAAATTGGTTCTGAACTTGGCCACAAAAGAAACTTCAATAAATTCCAGAGAAGGTCAGGCATAGTGGCTCAGGCCTCTAAACCCAACACTTTGGGAGACCAGGCAGGAGGAAGGCTTGAAACCAGGAGTTCAAGAGCAGCCTGAGCAACATAGCGAGACCCCCCCATTTCTACAAAAAAAGTAAAAAAAAAATCAGCCAGGTGTGGTGGCATGTGCCTACAGTCCTCACTACTTGGAAGGCTAAAGTGGATTGCTTGAGTCTAGGAGTTCAAGGCTACTTGATCATCCTAAACCTGTTTTGTTATTGTAAAAGACAGAAATAATGATGCCTACTCCATGATGTTTTTAATGATAATTAAATGAGGCGAGCTCTGATCTTGCCACTGCACTCCAGCCTGGGCACAGAATAAGACACTGTCTCTTAAAAAAAAAAAAAAATTCCAGAGGATGAAATCATACAGTTTATGTTCTCTGAAGACAGTACTGTAGATCAATATAAAAAATCTAAGTAAAAGTCCCATATATATGACATATAAGTAATATACTTCTTTGCATTTAAAAGTAAATACTAAAGAAAAAATAAAATATTTAGAATTAAATAGTAAAAACCCTGCAATCCACAATGTGTGTTACATATACAAAGTTGAAAAACTGGAAAGATAAAATAAAATGAAGCTAACCATTCAACTCAAAAAGATTAAATGATAGTCACAGAGAAAAACTAAAAATAGAAATGAAAGAAATAATAAAGATAAAAGAAAAATTAATAAATCCAGAACAAAAAACAGTAGAGAATATTTGTAAAACAGAAAACTGAGACTTAAAGTTACTCACATGAACCTCTGGCAAGACAGATTCAACAAAAAATAAAAGAAGACGCAAATGAAAGAAATTCCAATTATATAAAAAAAAATTCCAGACCAAAAAGGTAGTTCTAAAATAATAAAAATAATATTATCAAAAGCCCATAGGCTAATAAGTTTGAAAACTGAGAGAAATAATATGCTTCTTACAAAAATAGTCCAAGAAGAAAAAAAATTTGGATTAGTGTTTATTAGCATAGACCAATAACCTCAAAACCTATATTCAATTGTTTTATAAGTAAATTCAATAAATCATTCAAGGAACAGATAATATGTAATTCCTATTTTATGCAAAGATGAAAAACTACCTATTAAAATAATTTATGATGCTAATATATTAAGAAGATAAATTATGATTATCTCAATATATACACAACAGAAAAAAACTTAGCAAACCAGTAAAAGGAAAATTTCTCAGTGTGGAAACAGTCACATACCAAATAGATTGTGAGGTACAATATTCATTGCTCTAAGAATAAACTCTCCATTTATTCCAGTAATGGTTTGCCCTGTGTCACCTGCATTCTCACTTGGTTTTCGTTACAACAAAAACAAACTGTGTGTGAGTGCATGTATGTATGTGTGTATGTGCCTATATCTATGTAACAAGTATGTATAATACATATACACATCATCTATATAAGTAACAACTCATAACACATTTATTAAGATTGTCTTGTGTTCTGGTTTGACAAAATTGCTTTCTTCTCATGCTATGCAAGTTGCAAAATTGGCTGGGTGCCCTGAGATGCAATTTAAAGTGTCATATAAGTTATCATGCTCTGTTCTGTTATTTACAAAAAAATCCCTCCAAACAAAATTGACAAAAAAATGGGCTCTGTTATTTCTTTTGAAGCTGTCTTCTTGTCAATAAAGTTTACACATTTCAATGAATACTACTCTGTATAATTTTTAGATTATATTACACTTTTGCAGCTGGAGTAGATACTAAAAACCGCCATAAAGTATGCTCACTTTCTATGCATAACAGCTGCTTGCAGAACCGTAATATCCTGCACACTTCCATTTTTTTTCTTGTTAAATATACGTTTATGAAGAGCTTTGGTTTTGAGAGTCCAGGATTCTTTCTTCGGATTGGGTGTGGGACAATAGTTATACAACTGGAAACAAAAACACAGTATCCATCTGTGTCACTGCTCAGTGAATGCACAGGTTTAATATCATCATTGTTTAAGGTAATTTGGGCAGTAATTACATATGAAAGGCAGTACCAAATAATAACATAATTCCAGAAATGCGATAGATACTGATAATGACTATAAAGCTGTTCACAAAATGAGGCTTATAATCTCAAGGGTCTCAGAAAGCTAAGATTCATATATTCTTCATGACACTAAATTAACTATATGATCATGACTAAGCTACTTGATCATCCTAAACCTCAGTTTTGTTATTTGTAAAAAACGGAAATAATGATGCCTACTTCATGATGTTCTTAATGATAATTAAATATGATAATATAGAAGAATACCTAGTACAATGTAGTCACTTAAGAAGTTTGATGGATTTAAATTGCTATCTAATAAACCATTTATGTTATGTGTTATTAAAAGCACAGTTGTGAGGTGCATGCTTGCTGCACAAGTGAGTGAAGTGTGACATTCATAAACCCAGGGAATCATTCCGTCATCAGTGGTTTTCAGGCATTTTCTCATGGTTCATTTCAACCACTGGGAAACTTGAAGAGAAAAGATGTTAGTTGATAATAATAATAGTAATCATTTTTACTGATGCTGTAATCTGAGTGGCCATGAGTTCTCCACCATTCTGAGTTCATCCTTTCCTTTGGTATCCAAAAATATTAAGTCACATCCACCTCTGGAAAACTGTAAGAAATCTAGTCTCCATACAAGTATTAATTGAGTGTCTCTAGGGGAGAAATTTTTTATTACTATTCATATTAAATATCTTCTCCTAGTTTTCTCCTTGGCAATCTTTGTTCATTTCATTATTGCCTCTATATGTTTCTGTAGCTTCTAATTCTAAATCAAGGATTTAGTTTTCCATAAATGTAATTAAAGATTGAATTTATTTATTCATCATTTATCCATTCAAAAATATTGTCTTGGAACTCTGCTGGTACAAGGGGTACAACAGTGAACAAGACAGGCAGTCCCTAACCTCCTGGAGTTTATAGTCCATTGAAAAGATAGATATTAAACAAAGAATTACATGATAATGTAAATAATTAATGACAGTTGTGATACTTGCCAAAAAATATGTAGTGTTCTGTGAACGCTTGCAATGAAGGAGACTTAATCTTGATCTGAAGACCCAAGAAGCCTTCCCTGAAAAACTAGTAAGCTGCAAGTTTAAGTATGAACTAAAGTTACCCAGGGAAAGGAGGAATGTTATAGTCATAGGCAACTGCACATGTGAAGGTTATGAAATGGGAAAAGATGTTTAAGGACTTAAGGAGGCCAGTATGGATACAGGTTATTGAATAAAAGGAACAGTGGAATTGACCGGAGCAGGAGTCAGGAGCAGATCATGGAATAACTCATTTGCCTGACTAAGGGTTTTGGTCTGTGTCCTAAAAAAATGAGGAGCAACTATGTTTATTTAGGTTGGGGTGTGACATCATCTAAAAGATCACTCAGTGATATTTTACAACAGCCAGCACTGTGAGTGGATTGATTTAATTGTACATACTCAACTGGAGGAAACATTCTTGGAATTTTGCTGTCGAACATTTTGTAGACAGTCTTTTGATTGGCTGGCAGAACCAAAACACCTTTGCTCTTTCAGAGGAATCTTTATGTGAGAGGCAGAGCTCAGTGTCCTGTTGTTAGAGAAGCCTGTTGAAAGGGAGGACTCTATACTGACCAAGTGACACGACAGTTTACTATATAATCATCAGGAATTATTTCAATGGATCCAAGAGTTCAATGACGAACTTACAGTTTCAGTTCTGACATAGAAATAGCATGGCAGTCTTAATTCTGTCCTTAAAACAAAAAAGAGCTGGACAAATGAAAATGAATTATTTCTCATATCTATCAGAGAACTTAGGTCTCCATGTAAACAGCTGCAACAGAATCTGGAGGCATATCCAGGCAATCGCAGCTGAGATCTGCTTACCCAGAACAGAAGCTGCTCGTGTCATTAACTGGTAGAAACAGTTAAATGGTAATTTTAACCTAGGAATAGAGGCTTAGTTTGAGGCTACTGTAAGAGTGAGAAAATTCTGGGAGCCACAGGTTTAAGGGTGCTCCCATGTTTTTGTCAGCTTTATCTCCAGGGAGTCTAAAAGGTTTTTATGGTAAAGATCTGAGAAAGATGCCCTCCTGAATCTGGCAGAAAGAGAAGAGTAATCATCGTGAAATATGCCCACAGCTTTGTTATAACCAAGACCTGTATTCCAGAGGAAAAGACTTTGCTGGAGCATTCTCTCAGCTAGAAGGAAAGAATTTGTAGACAGTTTGTAGTTAATCGCCCTAAACCTCAGTTTTGTTATTTGTAAAAAATGGAAATAATGATGCCTACTCAATTAAGCTTTTAATGATAAGTAAATGGGATAATATATAAGAACACACCTAATACAATGTAGTCACTTGAGAGGTTTCCTGGATTTAAGTCTCTAATTAAACCATGTGTTATATTAAAAGCACAGTTATATTATTAAAAGCACAGTTGTGAGGTACATGCTTGTGGCACAAGTGAGTGAAGCGGGATGCTCATCAAAAGCAGCTGTCAAAGGCCATCTTCAAACATGACATCCTGAGATGACTTCAGAAGATTCAAGATCACCACAAACCTGGCCCAGGGAACCATTCCACCATCAGTGGTTTTCAGGCATTTTCTCATGGTTCATTTCAACCATTGGGAAACTTGAAGAGAGAAGATTAGTTAGTTGATAATAATAATAATTTTTACTGCTACTTTCTCTCTCTTCAAATTTCTATCTCACCTCAGCAGGAGGCAGAAAACTACTCAACTGTGGTCATGTATCTGAAGGATATAAAAAGGAAATACTGCCACCAAGAAAGAAGTAGGAGGCAGGGGGTAAAAGTTGTACCATCAAAAAAAAAAAATAAAATAGAATTAAAAAAAGATTGTGAAGGTCAGCCTTAAGACACAAGCCAACAAAAAGACTGAGTGTTAATTGGAATAGGATGCTCCCTCTCCCCCACAATTCACAACCACAATAGGGCTTCAGTAAAATAACAGTGGTTTACAGCTGAGCAAACTGCCAGACACACACTATCTCTGAAGAGGAATACTTAGGGAAGCCCTAAGAGGGAAGAGATAAACAAGGATACCAGGAGAATTTGAAGCCTCTAGCACCTACAGCTACAGCAAACATTAACACAACACAAGTCCTAGTCACATTAACATAACTCCTACAAGGGCTATTTACATTAGTCCCCATTACCTGAGTCCACGTGCCTGGCTTCCAATAAAAATTTGCAAAGTCTGTTAAAAGGTAAGAGAAAACACAGTCTGAAGAGAAAAGGCAAGCACCAGAGTCAGACTCAGACATGATACTGATATTAGGATAATCAGAGAAGGAATTTAAAATACAACAATTAATATATTAAGGGCTCTAATGGAAACTGTAGACAATATGCAAGAACAGATAAGTAAAGTAAGAAGAAATAAGGAAACTTTAAGAAATAATTGAAAGGAAATTCTAGAAACAAAAAACACTATAATAGAAATAAAGAAAGCTTTCGATGAGTTCATCAATAAAATTGACAGCTTAGAAAAGAATTAGCGAACTTAAAAGTAAGTAGATATTTCCCAAACTGAAATTCAAAGAGAAAAAATAATTAAAAATAGTGTACATACATCCAAGAATTGTGGAACAACTTAATAAGTTATAATATGCATAATTGGAATATATGAAATGAAAGAGCATGGAGCAGAATAAATATTTGAAGTAATAGTGGCTTAGAACTTTTCAAAATCAATCAATGACAGACAGAAACCATAGATCCAGGAAGTTCAGACAACACCAAACAGGAAATATACCCAATACACACACACATATGCATGCACACATAAGTGCACACACACTCACACACCTGGCCATGTAATATTCTAATTTCAGAAAGCCAAAGACAAAGAGAAAATCATGAAAAAAGTTGAGGATCAGAGAAAAGAAACACCTTACCTAGAGGAACAAGAATAACAATTATAGCAGACTTGCACAACATACAAAAGTCGATTACTGTCCTATGTAACAGCAATAAATAATTAAAATTTTAATTTTTAAAATTACCATTTACAACAGCACCAAAAATTAAAGTATTCAGGTATAAATCTAATAAAATACGGCTCTGCATTCAGACTACTTCAAAATGCTGAAGAAAGAAATCAAAGAATACCTAAATACATGGAGAGATATTCCATGTTCAGAGACTGGGATAATCTTAGGTTGTTAAGACATTGGTTCTTCCCAACTTTATTCATAGATTTAATGCAATCCTAAACAAAATCCCAGCAAGGTGCTTTGTGGCTATCAACAAGCCAATTCTAAAGTTTATATGGAAAGGCAAAAGACTGAGAATAGCCAACACAATACTAACAAAGTTGGAGGACTGACATCCCAAAACTTCAAGATTTACTATAAAGCTACAGTAATCCACAGAGTGTGGTACTGATGAAAGAATAGACTCAATGGAACAGAATAGGAAGCCTGTAAACAGGCCCACACAAATTTAGTCAACTGATCATCGACAAAAGAGCAAAGGCAGTTCAATGGAGAAAGGATAGTCTTTACAAGAAATGGTGCTAGAAAACTGGAGGTTTATGTGCAAAAATAAAATGAATTTAGACATAGATTTTACATCTTTTGCAAAAATTAATGTGAAATACATTATAAACCTAAATGTAAAACACAAAATATACAAATTCTAAAAGAAAACATAGGGGAAAATCTAGGTGACCTTGGGTTTGGTGATGAATTTTTAGATACAACACCAAAAGTATGATTCATGAAAGGAAAAATGGTCAGTTGGACTTTATTAAAATTAGATACCTCTGCTGTGTGAAAGATATTGTTAAAAGAATACAAATAAAAGCCAAAGACTGAAGAAAAACATTGCAAAACACATATCTGGTGTGTTTTAGATACAATATCTAAAATATGCAAAGAACTCTTAAAACTCAATAATAAGAAAACAAACAATCCTATTTTTAAATGGGCAAAAGCTCTAAACAGACATCAATTCAAAGAAGATATCCAGATAGCAAATAAACATGTAAAAAGATGCTCAACCTCATTTGTCATCAGAGAATTGTTGGTTAAAACAACAGTCTGACACCACTGCACACCTATTAGAATGACTAAAATCCAAAAAATTGAAAATAACAAATGCTACAAGGATGAAACAACAGGATCTCTCATTCATTGCTGGTGGGAATGAGGTATGGTACACCCATTTTGGAAAGCTGTTTGGCAGTTTCTTAGAAAATTAAACATAGTCTTATTATTATATGATCCAGCAATTGCTCTCTTAGCTATTTGCTCAAATGAGTTGTAAATTTATGTCCACATAAAACCCCACAAGTAAAGGTTTACAGCAGCTTTATTCATAATCATCAAAGACTGGAAGTACCAAGATACCCTTCTATAGGTGAGTAGATGGACAAACTGTGATACACCCATATAATAATATATTATTCATCTATAAAGAGAAATGAACCATGAAACCACAAAAAGACATGGCAGAATATTAAATACAGGCAAACTGCTAAGTGAAAGAAATCAGTCTAAAAGGCTACACAGTATATAATTCTAATTATATGACATTCTGGAGAAGGACAACTATAGAGACAGTAAGAAGATTAGTGGGCCAACTCTGGACACATTGCCTATGGCTTAGCCCTGCTCTAGGAGAAGCAATTATTACAAATAACATTAAAATTAAAAAAGATGAGTGGTTATCAAGGAGGAAAAGGCAGGATGAATCAGTGAAGCACAAGGTAACTTTATGGTGGTGACACTATTCTGTGTGATACTGCAGGGATGAGTACATGATATTATGCACTTACCAAAACCCATAAAAGGCCAGGCATGGTGGCTCATGCCTGTAATCCCAGCACTTTGAGAGGCCAAGGCAGGAGAATTGCTTGAGCTCAGGATTCAAGACCAGCCTGGGCAACATAGTGAGACTCCACCTTTGCAAACAATAAAAAAATTATCTGGGAGTGGTGGTGCATGCCTGTGGTCTCAGCTACTCAGGAGATTGAGGCCGGAGGACTGCTTGAGCCTGGGAGGTCAAGGCTACAGTGAGCTGTGATCACACCACTGCACTCTAGCCTGTGTGACAGTGCAAGAATCTGCCTCAAAAAAAGAAAAAGAAAAAGAAAGAAAACCATGAAAACACATACAAAAACCAACAACATAAAACCTTATAACACCAGAAGTAAACATTAGTGTATATTTTTTTAAAAATCATTTAGAAGATCAGGGATTCCAGGAAGGAATGAAGACAACTGTGACAAGAGATTTCAAATGTATTACAAAGATAACAAAGAATCTCATTGAAGAAGGTGAGTGGAAAAGTTGTTGAAGTAAGTAATTTTGGAAATGAGCAGAATCTGTAAGACTAAAAAAAAGGAACTACATATAAGCACTGTATTTGATAAATGTACAATAGGAAATGGGTTAAAAATTGATATTATTTTACATGTATATGAGAATCGAACAATTAAGTAAATGGATGGGTATGAGCCAGTTTTCTCACTGTTGCAGTCAGAATTTACAGATAAGCAAAGGGAGAAGGCTAGAAATATTTATGCAGTAATTGATTAGATTTGTTGGTATCAGAAAACTCAAGTTTACCATACTATAGTTATGGATGGTTACACAGATAAATATAACATATATAGATAAATGTACATATACAAGGGTTAGTTTATACACATATATTTTTCTGCTCTGTCAGCTGAGATACCCGAAAATAAATGATATCCCAGTAGCCATAAGCATATCTAGAATCCAAATCTTGGTTTCTAACGCCATTTTCTAATAAAAGTAACCAAGACTTATTGGAGAAGCAGCTGATTCTAGGGCTGGAGCAGGAAATAAATAAAATGACACAGAGCATTCTGTAGTGTCAAAAAGTAAGGAAGTGCTTAAAACACACACACATATTCACAGGGAGATGTCAAATGGACACAGGAGCCAACTGAAAGAGCTCCCAAAGCTGGAAAAATTTGAGTAATGAGGTAAAGAAAATAGTATTGTATTAGTTCATTTTCATACTGTGATGAAGAAATACCCAAGACTGGGTAATTTATAAAGAAAAAGAGGTTTAATAGACTCACCATCCCACATGGCTGGGGAGGCCTCACAATCACGGCAGAAAGCAAAGAAGGAGAAAAGGCACATCTTACATGGTGACAGGCAAGAGAGTGTGCAGGGGAACTGCCCTTTATAAAACCATCATATCTCATGAGACTTATTCACTATCACAAGTACAGCATGGGAAAAACCTGTCCCCATGATTCAATTACCTCCCACCAGTTCCCTCCAATGACATGTAGGGATTATGGGAGCTACAATTCAAGATGAGATTCGGGTGGGGACACAGCAAAACCATATCAAGTATTGAGGCCAGGCATGGTGGCTCTCACCTGTAGTCCCAGCACTTTGGGAGGCCGAGGCTGGTGGATTGCTGGAGCCCAGGAATTTGAGACCAGCCTGGGCTATATAGTGAAACCCCGTATCTACCAAAAAATACAAAAATTAGCCGGGCATCGTGGCATGTGCCTGTAGTCCAACCAACTTGGGAGGCTGAGGTGGGAAGATCACCTGAGCCCAGGGAGGTCAAGGCTGCAGTGAGCCATAATCAGACCACTGTACTCCAGCCTGGGTGAAGAGTAAGATTCTATCTCAAAAAAAAAAAAAAAAAAAAAAAAAAGAAAGAAAGAAAAAGAAAAAGAAAAGAAAAGAAAATAGCTTTAGGTAATAACCCAAAGAATAAAATAAATACCAGTGAGTCCATATTGCTATAAATGAGTGATCAAACAACTTAATAAATTGGGCATGAGGGACAAATCCCCTGTGCGGAAGAGTGTCAAACAACATCTATAGATACTCCATTCTAAAGGAGAGCAATATGACTCCCTTTTCCTTAGGAAGACACTGCACATAGTGACTTCTTTCCATAAAGTATAAATGGCAAAGGGGGAAAATATTAACTTTACAGTGGAGAAAGCTGGCAAACACTAGCTTAGCCAGGCAATCAAGATTAACATCACAGTCTTAAATCATTTTGATAGTAGGTACCTTTGATATAATGTGATAAGAATAGCAATTTACGTCTGGGGTCTTCCTCTCAAAAACTGATAACCCCAGTCTAATCATGAGAAAAATCTCAGACAAATTCCAATAGGAGGGCATTCTACAATATACTCAACCATTACTTTTGAAAACTGTCAAGGCTATTAAAAGGAATATCTATGAAACTGTCACAGCTAAGAGAAGCCTAAAAAGATATCACAAATAAATATAAGGTATTATACTGGATGAGATCCTGTAACAGAAAAAGGGCATAAGTAGGAACTAAGGAAACCTGAGTAAGTGATAAACTTTAGCTAATTTGGATCAATATTGATTCATTGATTGTGACAAACACACCATATTAAAGTAACATCTTAATAACAGGAGAAACTGCAAGGACAGCATGGGAACTCTCTCTACTATCTCCTCAATTTTTCTGTAAATCTAAAACCATTCTAAAATAAAGTGTTTATTTTTAAAAAGAGAGAAGTTAGTGACATGGCCATGAATACCAAGTGGTTGCAGGGGCAGCAATGATAGCAACAAATATTCAGTGATGCTGGCTGTGGCGTCTGGATGTGGGATTGTGGCTGTACCTTGCCTTGACTATTTCTCCAGCCTTTCTATGGATTCTGTGAGTTACCAGATAGCTATAAAGTCTTTTCCTGACTAACTTAATCACAGTCAGTTTTTGTTGTTCAGGAATACAATTCTTGACTACTAAGAGGAAATCAGATGCAGACAAGAGAACCTCAAGGAAATGAGGAGAACCTTGGACTGGTTATTGAGCCTAGTTGAACTTAAACACAGTTACAATCCAGAGTTCCTTGGGGACTCTTTTACCCTCCGCTGAGGGAGTTATCTATTAAGAAGAAATCAGTTCTTCTCTGCCCCGCTCCCTCACCCACACCCCCCCTACACGCACACACACATAATTCTCCATTACCATCTCCTAAACTATAAATTAAATCAGAACCCAGAAATCCTCAGAAAGAAATTACAAAGTCAAACCCAGAAAAAGAAGGCTTATACTCCAAGTAAGTTTTTGAGCGTCATGATTTTATTTGGAGGTATTTGAAATTTGAGGTTTGTGTGGAAATAGATTCAGAGCATGATAGAGAAAAGAACAGATTTTGAGTTTACCTTATTTTATAAAATAAATTTGCTTATTTGAGCTATTATAGATGTGTTAATTGGTTTATTAAGAATGGGGATAATTTCTAAAACAATAAACGCCTTTAAATTAAGACAAAATGCCATAAATCTCTTGGTTTAAAACAGAAGATGAGGCCGGGTGTGGTGGCTCATGCCTGTAATCCCAGCACTTTGGGAGGCTGAGGCGGGTGGACTACGAGGTCAAGAGTTTGAGACCAGCCTGGCCAACATGGTGAAATTCCGTCTCTACTAAAATACAAAAATTAGCCAAGCATGGTAGTGCGTGCCTGTAATCCCAACTACTCAGGAGGCTGAGGCAGGAGAATTGCTTAAACTAAGGAGGCAGAGATTGCAGTGAGCCGAGATCATGCCATTGCCCTCCAGCCTGGGCAATAAGGAGAGATTCCATCTCAAAAAAACAAACAAAAAAACAGAAGATGAAATCCAAGGAACGAAAAAGATAGAAATATTGGAGTAGGTTTTTCATGTGTCATGTACCTTCCAAAAAGCTAATTATATCTCCCAAGAGAATCTATAGATGACTCTCAAAGAAATCTTGGTAAGATAACCTCAATAGAGATGGCAGGATCCCATGGACAAGCAGGAACATTTAACCACATGATTACTGTAATAAGCAGCAAGGCCATAGTGATGATTATAATGTTCCAAACTGGAGATACCTTTGGTGGTGATTAGTTACCATGAGATCCCTACAAATGAAATAGATGAGAAATTCACTCAGGTCCTACTTTCTTTGTATAATCAAAACTCCAGATCTAGTGAATAAAGTCTTAGTTTTAACTACCAAAATGCAAAGCAAGTTTTCCTCAACCTGTTCCCTTACTTGAGTCAATTCCCAGATCCAGAGAAGCTTTAGCAAAGGAGAGGCCAGATACTATTAAGGAAAAGCTTCCAATAATAATACTATGAGTAAGCATTGTGATAGATCCCAAGAAAAACAACATAGACCTTTTGGGAATTATTAATATGCTTTCACTAGTTTCTGGGGACCCATAATGCCACTGGTCAGAGAAGGGGCCTTTAATACATCACTGTGTTCTTTCATCTTCTTTTCCCGTGTTTTTCCCCAGTCACTATTGCAGCAGCTTCATGGAGGTGTCATCTGACACTACAGCTGTACCATGTCCATGTATTGTTCTTACTTTCTGGACTAGCATTAGTCTGGCAACATGGTGGAACACTTGTGTGAACTATTTTGACCTTCACACATACATGAACTGAAAGCACCAGGGACTTACCATGCCACAGGGCAACCCAGATATTTGGAGAAGTGAACAAGTGCATAAATACTTTCTTAAAATATGTGGGTGGACATTTCTGAGGTACATTCTATAAAGCCACTTAGAAGGCCCTAGCAGAACTGAGTCCCATTGCCCACAATAGTGACCAACTAAATATTGTAAATATTTTATACATTCTTCTCTCATTCCCAACACCTATTCCCAAAGAGTTATGTCCCCGAGTAGATTACCTTTATCCAAGCCTTTGAATCAGCCTTTGAATCAGAGGCTTGCTTAAAGGTAATTTATTGGAGGACATAATTCCCAATTCAGCCTAAAATAAGAGATTTATGATAATCAGGCAACAAATAAAATTTTGAACAAAGTCTATCTTAGAGCAGAGGCAGAGCAGAGGCAGTAGAAACAGAACCATTCTGTAATTGTTTCCCATTTTCTGGAATACAGAGTTATGATAGATGAACTCAGCCACCAACATAATCCTCACATTAGCTCCCTGGCTCACAGAATAGGGATAATACATTTAAAATGGTGAAATAAAAGTAATTATATCACCATTTCCTAAAAATTTAAAGCAAAATTACATCTCTGGGTTTATTCCAAGGATCTGTGTGCATCATCCAAGATTTGAAAGATGAAGGAGTGATGACTGTGGTCAGTTCCCTCATTTAATATTTCAGTATAGTTAAAGTAGATAACAAAGCTAATTTATATAGTCTATGTCATCTGGCATATAATAATTGATCTTTCAAGTGTTTTTGCCTCTCTATTCCAATAAATGATAGCACCAGATGCAATTTGCTTTTCTTATCAGGGACATCAATATACCTTCAAATCTTGCCTCAATATCACATTAGCCTCTTAATCTTTGGCTGAATTTTGTCTGATGGAACCTTTACTATGTCAACAAGCCACATGATCTCACCCTGGTTCACTACATTGAAGACATAATGCAGATAGGACCTGAAGAGCAGTAAGTGGCAAGCAATCTGACACACTTAAGTGAAGCAGATAAATCCCATGAAAATCATGGACCCGCCACCTAAAGTTTTGGGGTTAAATAATGAAACATCCAATAATTGGAAGAACCAATAATTCTAAGAAATGTTCACTACCTGGAATGACCCTTCCGGAATGAAAAACATGTTGATAAATGATGAATTACATTCTGTATCACCAAGAAAGAGACAGAGTGCTTTGAATACTGTTGCAGCTTACGCAACATTTCGGTGCGTTGCCTTGTTTTATTACAGCAGGGACCTTAAAGGTTACCTCCTTTCTGTGGGGTCTGGAGAAAAAAGTCACTCCAGCTGCTCCAGGTTGTATTGCCATTCATCCCCAATGATACAAAGACTAAATTATGCTCAAAGTATGTGTGGTAAATTGGTATCTGATATGGAACCAAGAGAAGGCAAAACCTCACCATCCATTCCTTCATTGGAATGGCTACTCTTGAAAAGCAACTTTTGGTTAGGTCGTGAATTCTGTTAAGATGGTCCTCATGAGGATGGCACATGAGGTGATCATGTGACCCAAGCCACATATATGAAGTAGATGATATAGATTAGATGTAAATCAGTCATAAAGCCAGATATACACTTCAGAACTCCATCATCAGGTCAAAGTAATATATATCTGACCAAGTGCAGGTAGTTCCTGAACCCGAATAAATTCCATGAGTAGTTTACACACAGTGCCACGTGCTGACACTTATAGAACTGCCAGTTCTCCTTTGACTCCTATCTATGACCTTACAAACAATTATCTATATCCTGTTGACTCAAAGAAATATATTTGAGCCTGGCACATAAATGACCCCACATGATTGCATGGTATCAGTCAGAAGTAGACTGCAATTGCCCGCTAAGGAGCCCCTGAAGGACAGTTGAGAAAAAAAATTTCTCAGTATATGAAACTTTCAGTATTTTAAATGCAACTTTGTCTTGATGAATACTTATCCCTACACCAAATTATAATAGATACTAGTTTGGCTGGCTAAGTAGAGAGACAAGATTGGAGGATTGGTGCCAATAATGTTTGAGAAACAGATATATGCACAGATACCTCAGAATAAACCCAGAATATAAAAACAATTTCATCCCATATGAGGACCTAAAGGCCTCAGTTTAAAGGGGTCTCATAACAATTAAAAGGACAAGAAAATCTGGCCATAAATAAATCTTCTTCTCAACTGGTCCAATGCCTGGTCAGTGAACCCTTGAAGAGGGCAAGGATGGATACCCAAAAACATGAACTTCCCTTACCAAGGCTAATTACCTATTACCTAATTTTCATCACTGCTGAAGAAATCAATTTGCAAGAAACTATGACCAACCCAGAACCTTAATATATTGTCATACATCACAGGATACTAGTCAACTAACTACCTGGAAGGTGGCAAGTTAATTATATATATAGAACCTCTTCCAGTTCACTAAAATAGGTACCTATTTTGAGTTTGGAATTGCTTGCTTTGCCTAATATATATATATATATATATATATATATATATATATATATATTTTAATTTTAAGTTCTGGGACACATATGTAGGACGTGCAGGTTTGTTACACAGGTAAACGTGTGCTATGGTTTACCTAGCTATTAGGTAAACCATTACCTAGCTATTAAGCCCCGCAGGCATTAGCTATTTATCCTTATGCTCTCCCTCCCCTGGCACCCTCCAACAGGCCCCAGTGTGTATTGTTCCCCTCCCTATGTCCATGTATTCTCACTGCTCAGCTCCCACTTATAAGTGAGAACATGCGGTATTTGGTTTTCTGTTCCTGTGTTAGTTTGCTGAGGATAATGGCTTCTAGCTCCCTTCCTGTCCCTGCAAAGGACATTATTGTGTTCCTTTTCATGGCTGCATAGTATTCCATGGTGTATATGTACCACATTTTCTTTATCCAGTCTATCATTGATGGGCATGTGTGTTGATTCCATGTCTTTGTTATTGTGAATAGGACTGCAAAGAATATATGCGTGCATGTATCTTCATAATAGAATAATTTATATTCCTTTGTTCATATACCCAGTAATGGGATTGCTGGGTTAAATGGTATTTCTGGTTCTAGGTCTTTGAGAAATCACCACACTGTCTTCTACAATGGTTGAACTAATTTACATTCCCACCAGCAGTGTAAGGGCATTCCTGTTTCTCCACAGTCTTGCCAACATCTGTTGTTTCTTGACTTTTTAATAATCGCCATCCTGACTGGCGTGAGATGGTATCTCATTGTGGATTTGATTTGCATTTCTCTAATGATCACTGATGGTGGGCTTTTTTTCATGTGTTTGTTGATCTCATAAATGTCTTCTTTTGAGAAGTGTCTATTCATGTTCTTTGCCCACTTTTTAATGTTTTTTTTCTTGTAAATTTTTTTAGGTTCCTTGTAGATTCTGGATATTAGACCTTTGTCAGATGGATAGATTGCAAAAAAAAATTCTCCCATTCTGTAGTTGTCTGTTTGCTCTGATTATAGCTTTTTCAAACTGTCTGTTTGCGATGACATGATCCTATATCTAGAAAACCCCATCATCTCAGCCAAAATGCTTCTTAAGCTGATAAGCAACTTCATCAAAGTCTCAGGATACAAAATCAATGTGCAAAAATTACAAGCACTCCTATATGCCAACAACAGACAAGCAGAGAGCCAAATCATGAATGAATTCCCATTCACAATTGCTACAAAGAGAATAAAATACATAGGAATACAGCTAACAAGGAACATGAAGGATCTTTTCAAGGAGAACTACAAATCACGGCTAAAGGAAATCAGAGAGGACACAAACAAATGGAAAAACATTCCATGCTCATGGACAGGAAGAATCAATATCGTGAAAATGGCCATACTGCCCGAAGTAATTTATAGATTCAATGTTATTCCCATTAAACTACCATTGACATTCTTCATAGAATTAGAAAAAAACTACTTTAAAATTCATATGGAAACAAAAAAGAGCCCGTATAGCCAAGGCAATCCTAAGCAAAAAGAACAAAGCTGGAGGCATCACACTACCTGACTTCAAACTATACTACAAGGCTACAGTAACCAAAACAGCATGGTACTGGTACAAAAACAGACACATAGACCAATGGAACAGAATAGACAATCCAGAAATAAGTCCACACACCTACAACCATCTGATCATTGGCAAATCTGATACAAACAAGCAATGGGAAAAGGATTACCTATTTAATAAATGGTGTCAGAAAAACTGGCTATCCATATGTGGAAAATTAAAACTGGACCTTTTCCTTATACCTTATATAAAAATTAACTCAAGATGAATTAAAAACTTAAATGTAAAGCCCAAAATGATAAAAACCCTAGAAGAAAATCTATGTAATACCATTCAGGACATAGGCACAGGCAAAGGTTTCAAAATGAAAATGTCAAAAGCAATTGGAACAAAAGCAAAAATTGACAAATGGGATCTAATATACTTTTAAAAGAAGGCCATCCATTTACTTATTGAATGCTTTATATCCTATCATTGTATCCTACAAGTATTACCTCTCATCAAAGATTCACTTTACATTGATAAAATGAGATGATGGGTGAGTACTCAATGGATTCACTGGTCTTCTCTTGTTGCCTATCACCTAGAAGCAGCTGATCTTATAGACTGGGGAAATTACCCACCAAAGATTCAGATATGACAACCAACTGAGGAGCCACACCTTGGAAGGCTGAGGTTCTGTCCTGTAGGATGTAGTACATGCTCTTAACCATTAACCAACATATAGTGTCTTTTCTCCCATATTTAGAATTTGTAAGTATAAGAATTAAAGGATAGAAGGAAGAGTAGCTCCTCTCATGATTATATTTAATGGTACACTTGCAAATTTTCATCTGCCAGTTGCCATGGCTCTGAGTATTAAAAGTTTTTAAGCTTGAAGTCCCAAGAGATAACACACCAAGGGCACAAAAATGGTTCTATGAAATAATGCTCAACATCACTCATAATTAGAGTATTGCAGATCAAAACCACAATGAGATACCATCTCACACCAGTAAGAATGGCTATCATATAAAGTCTGAAAATAGCACATGCTGGTGAGGTTGTGGAGTAGCAGTGTATAAGAATACTTATACACCATGGTTGGTGGGAATGTAAATTAGTTCAGTCATTGTGGAAAGCAGTCTGGCGATTCCTCAAAGAACTTAAAACAGAATTACCACTTGCCCCAGCAATCCCTTTATTGGGTATATACCTAAAGGAATATAAATTATTCTATTATAAAGACACATGTATTTGTATGTTCACTGTAGCACTATTCACAATAGCAATGCCTTGGAATCAACCTAAATTCCCATCAATGGTAGACTGGATAAAGAAAATGTGGTACATATACGCCATGGAATACTATGCAGACATAAAAAAAGAATGAGATTATGTCCTTTGCAGCAACATGGAGCTGGAGACCATTATCCTAAGCATACTAAAACGGAAACAGAAAACCAAACACCACATATTCTCATTTATCGGTGGGAGCTAAACATCAAGTACATATGCTGACAAAGAAAGGAACAAAAGACACTGGGGCTTACTTGTGGATGGAGAGTAGGAAGAGGGTGAGGATCAAGAAACTACCTATCAGGTACTATGCTTATTACTTGGGTGATAAAATAGCCTGTACACCAAACCCCTGTCACACAAAATTTGCCTGTGTAACAAACCTGCACATGTACTGCTAAATGTAAAATAAGTTAATAAATAAATTTTAATTTGCCTAATTTTATAAAGCAAGGACATCAAACAGCCATCTATGAAGAAAATAAAGAACACAGAAAAACTGAAAGCAAAAAACTATCTGTTTTAATTACAAAATATTGGTGATCACTACTCAAATTAAAAATAAGGAGACCCTCAAAGGAAAATCTTCTTCCCTGTCCTTACCAACCCTTTCTGGACACTAATAGCTAATTTTGGAGAAGATAAGTAATATATATTCATTTAAAAGAATAACCTTGGCAAATAAATTGTAGGCCCCCCAAAAAGAGCATCGTAGAGCAAAGCACAACAGTGTCAACTGGATCAAAAGCTCCTTTACCACGTAGATAGCTCCATATTGACTATAATTGATGTCCATTTTTTTCTTTCTAAATCTATTTGAATCTAAATCTATATTTGATCTTAACCAAAAGGCCAAAAAACAATGAACCTAAATCTAATTGAATCTAAAACTATGGCTGCATAGCAAAATATATCATGAATAGT
Source organism: Homo sapiens (assembly GCF_000001405.40). Lineage (NCBI taxonomy): Eukaryota > Metazoa > Chordata > Mammalia > Primates > Hominidae > Homo > Homo sapiens. The sequence continues at coordinate 36,246,265 of NC_000015.10, forward strand.
GGCTTAAAGCAATCAGCAATTCTTTGGATCACAATATTGTGGGGTACAGGATTAGGTTTGGCTCAGCTGGTGGTTCTTCTGGTCTAGGCTAGAGGCTCACTGAAATGTCTGATGAGACAATGTGGATAAATGGGCATTTGCATCTTGTCATCTAGAAGATTAGTCCAGGTATGTTCTCTCAGTAAACGAAGAAGAGTAAGAAAAAGGGTGGATATGTATATAAGATCTTTAAAGGCTTAGACTCAGAACTGGACATTAGATGAATAGAAGTCACAGTTTAACAGGGCCAATCCAGATTCAAAATATCTCCACCTCTTGACGAGTGTATTCACAGGGACAGGTGAATATTTGGGGTCATTTTTGTGCTTAAGGTTACTTATGATTAGATTAAAAATTTACAACAAAAGAAGAAATGGGGGAAGGTATATGTCTATAAAGCAAAATGTTGCAAAAAGTTAGCTTGTGTTATTACAGCATTGTAAGATCAGACACATAAGACATACAAGGTACAAAAGGTATGAAAACTGGATTAAGTCCACTAAAGATAATGGGTGGAAAATCTAATATCTTTTTTCATCTGAGTAAAAATAGTAATGGTGAATATGAGCAATGTTGTCTAAACTTGTAATGAAGGGTTTATGTACTTAAACAGTGAAATAATATGATGAGCAAGAGTAAAATATTTGTGCTTAATTAACTGTGAACTCACATTGAAAGTAAATATCATATTAAGAATAGAAAGAGAAATCACATTTCCGTCATTGCTCAAGTAAAAAACTGTGATCGATAATATCAGAAAAAGATGAGGGGAGAAATATTTCTTTCTCTGTGAGTTATTTTTTTCCTTCTTCGTCTTTGTTTTCACAGAAGTTCTTTTTTCAAGAAGACAATATAATTTACAAATTGTTATATATTTAAAAAAATACATTTAGGTATCACAAAAGAATACATTAACGTAATAGACCAAAAAATGACAACATGCAAAATTTAAATTTACAACAAGAAAAATACGAAAATTATTTTTTGCTATGAAATTTTATTTTTTTGATATTCCTATGCCACCTTTAAGGCAAAATGAAATTCCTCATCTAGAATCCAAATTTATAGGTAAACCCTAAAAATGCAGCAGAAGATAAAAGAAACGATGAATTGTTGTTTAGTTGCTTTCTCAATCCTCTGCAAAAATATGCCTCTATGATTGGTTGATTGTTATAAGCCTTTGAGGCTTTGGATTTCTTTTGCAATCAACTATAATATTGGATTTTCAAAGGAAATATATGACAAAATATGAAGATTCACTCACTGCAAAGATCATGATAACCACCAAATAAATACATTCTTTATTCATAAGGAGTTGGAATAAGAGCATAATGACCTCAGGATAACATGTCAACTGCAGTTGTTGGATCCAAACAAGAGACAAAATGTTAACACTCAGATCTTTGGTCTTCTGTTCTTAACCAGAAAATGTTCTGAATTAAGAATCCTGGCCAGGCACGGTGGCTCATGCCTGTGAGCACTTTGGGAGGCCGAGGCGGGTGCATCACTCAAGGTCGGGAATTTAAGAGCAGCCTGGCCAACATGGCGAAACCCCATCTCTACTAAAAATACAAAAATTAGCCAGGCATGGTGGTGCACGCTTGTAATCCCAGGTACTTGGGAGGCTGAGGTAGGAGAATTGCTTGAACATGGGAGGTGGAGGTTGCAGTGAGCAGAGACTGGGCCACTGCACTCCAGCCTGGGTGGCAGAGCAAGAACCCACTCAAAAAAAAAAAAAAAGTCAAATTTTTATCTTATAACTTTTAACAAATAGTGAAGAAGCATATTTCACCAGAATCTAGAAAATAAGGAATAATAATGTAATATAACACCTAAGACTTTATGTCTCAAAGAATATTTATGCTTATGCTTTTTATTTTTAATTTTATTTTCATACTCCAAGGGGCAATGGTATTGATTATCTGAGTGGAAATAAACTTTTTAGAAATGAGGTGTACAACACTGACCAACAGTCTTTAGAAAATAATCTTTCATCTTGGAATGATTCAATGCTAGAAGTGTTGATAATAAAAGCCTGGTTCGTGCTCATGAGTAAAGCATCCACTGGTGTCTATTCTCACTTTCAAAATCACCCACTAGAGTTTATGGATGGCAAAGACATAAATGAGAAACTTGCTCTCAGAGGCCTGGTGGATTTGTCATGAAGCTTTTCTATATAAATAAAAGAGACACCGAGAATGGAAATTACATTATTTTTAGTGCCGTGTTAAAGGAAAGGTCAAGTTAACCCCTTAAGAATTCAACGAGCAACATGATGTACTATGTGTCCAGCAAAGCAATCCCAGAATGGCCCTTATGGACATCTGGTGTAAATCATCCATCTTTTTTGCCCCATTAAAATCAGTGTCACCTCATTAAAACACTTCAGCAGCTGAGCGCACACATTATTTGGTCTTCAAGGAGTTAACGGAAATAGCTGTAGGGATCAGGAAGGTTTCTGTCTTCAAGTGTTCATAGTCACCCAGACAAAGAAGCTAGTGGAAGCATTTCAGGAAGCTCTACTTTCCCTGTCAAGGTGAGAAAGGTATAGCCATTTTTGAAATGGGATTAAAAAAAAAAAACCTCTCTCTCCTACAGCCCCTTATATTGCTAGCAATTACATCTTTGGGGGTCTGATAATTCTCTGGTCAGTAACAGTGCTGTCATATGTACCTTAACCCTGATCTGAAAGAATCAGTGGGTTGCTAAGAGGATATTTCAGCCAAACCAGACGAGTATTTTGAAGTGTTACATTCTGGTGACCCCAATCACTCAGCCTTCAAGACAGGGAAGTTTGGTTCCTTGAAAGTCAGGACCTGCACACTTTCTTTGACCAAACAGGGTGACTTAGGGGCAAAATTGGGTCAAATCATTCAATGCTGCTTTGAACCTGCCTCTCCTTATCTTCCCTATCTTCTTCTGTATATTCTTCAATTCTTTTGCTAGGAATCCTTGAAAGCATGTCTACTCTGGCCTTTGAAAGAGAAATATGTCGGGTAACTAGATCATCTTTTTGAAAAAAACCTTTAAAAATGCCTTTAGTTGAATAGTAACAATAGTAGAAAATAATTCCAGATGAAAAACAGGATGTTGCCTGTTTCATAGAATCCCATATTCATAAAAGTTCATACATACGTTATATTTTAGCAAGGTAAACCATACTGAACTCAGTTATGAACAATTGGTTGCTACAATATAGAGTACTCTATTTTCTTCTTCTCTACTACACTTCCTCTATGGGTTTAGTGTTCTATCTTTAAAAATAGGTAATATAGATAATAAATAAGTAAAAATACATTAAGCTATTTGTTCAACTAAAATGAACCACCAACTTATTTAATCCTGCAGTTCCATATAAACATGACCATAATTCAAAATTCTTTCAGCTTTAAGAGAAAAAATTCCTTATGCACACTGCTAGCTGCAAAAGCTCTACTTCATGTCTACACATCTACATATGGAATGTAACTTACAGCTAGCCTTTTGTATCTATCATATTGACAAATTTCTAATAGTAATAATGATGTTTTCATGAGTATAAGATGTTTTGTGAGTATAGGAACTCTCAGTCACTATACTTCATAGAAGTATAAATTGCTATATATATTCTGGAAGCCACATATATACAGTCAAGCATGACATCCTGACATTTTGGCCAACAATGGACAGTATATATGATAGTGATCCCATAAGATTATAATACCATATTTTACTATGTCTTAGATATTTCAGATGTACAAATACTTATCATTGTGATACAACTGCCTAAGTATTCAGTACAGTAAAATGCGGTACAGATTTGTAGCCCAGGAGCAATAGGCTATAGCATATAGCATAAGAGTATAGTAGGCTACACCATCTAGGTTTGTGTAAGTATTCTCTATAATGTTTGCACAATCATGAAATTGCCCAATGATGCACTTCTCAGAATGTATCCCCAATGTAAAATGATGCATGATTGTATATCAATATCTTAAAAACATGCAAACCCATTAATCATCAAATTCACTTTTCAGAATTTTTCCTTTGAAAATATGTAAGAATATGTGCCGATCTTTATGTACAAATATGTTCATCACAACATTGCTTATAATAGTGAAAATAGTTACAATTTAGTTATTTAATGTAAGATAATTAAATTAGAAATTGTCGGCCGGCGCGGTGGCTCAGGCCTGTAATCCCAGCAGTTTGGGAGGCCGAGGTGGGCGGATCACGAGGTCAGGAGATGGAGACCATCCTGGCTAACACAGTGAAACCCAGTCTCTCCTAAAAATACAAAAAATTAGCCGGGCGTGGTGGCGAATGCCTGCTACTCCGTGTCCCAGCTACTCTGGAGGCTGAGGCAGGAGAATGGCATGAACCCGGGAGGCGGAGCTTGGAGTGAGCCGAGATCGCGCCACTGCACTCCAGCCTGGGCGACACAGCAAGACTCCGTCTCAAAAAAAAAAAAAGAAAAAAGAAATTGTCTAACTAAATTACAGTATATATATATATATATATATATATATATATATATATATATATATAAAATCAATTATGAAACCACTAAAAATAACATTATAGTATAACGATATATTAAAAAACGACTATAATTTTAGTAAAAAAGTTCACAAGGAATGCAATATTGAATAATTCCCATTTTAAAAATATTTCAATGTATACATGAACATACGCACAGAAATAGATGACTGGATATATGTATTCCAAAATATATGGTGGCTTATTGATATAAAGATTTTAAACAGAATGTATTTTTTTCTCCTGGCTTATTTCTAAATTTTTAATCATCAACAAGTGTATCATTAGTATCTTTAAAGTTTCATAAAACCCAATCAAAACTAGCTGATACAAAGAAAATACATTTAGGGGCACACATAACCAAAATGTCAGGTAAGGATCTATTCAGACAAGTTTTCATCTTACTAATGAAGTTTTGCACATAGTGAAATAATATGGCAAGCAAGAATAAAACTTCAGTGTGCTTGTTAACTGGCCAGTGCAGACCGAAAGTGACAGATTGTCCCACTGTCACCTTTCTATGCTCTGCTTTCGCGCTGTTGATCGCTTTATTCAGGCCTTTTCTACTCTGCCAATCTCAAAGCTCTCACTTCTTTTTTTAAGTCCGGAGGAGAAAAGAGAATCCATGCCCCAGCATTCCAAGCAAAGGTCTTGAGACATTTAGAAGGTTTACAGGTTTTCAAGTGCCTGCTCCAAAATCATTCCCTGTTAAAAGATGTAATTCCATGGACCAATTGGCTTAGCTATTCAAGGTGCACCCCCAAGGAGCAGAGTGTAGCATCAATCTCATGCAAACCACTTGGCTGAGACCAGGAAAGGGAACAGATTTTTCTCTAAAGGACATTAGGGGGTGCTCTCAGAAAAGATGGAAAGGATCCTGACAGAAAAAATATCAACATCCACTATAAGCACATAGGATAACTGTAATATTAGAAAAATAATAAAGTTACTACAATAAAATGTATTTTGTCTCACAATACCATCTGGATCTGAAGGATATAAGGTAATTTCCCACTTCGTTCAAGGCAGGCTGTCTCCTGGAGCCTGCTATCATTAAAAGGTGGAGTTGTTACAATTCACCTTTTAATTTCACTTAATATATATCTCTACCTTTCATGCTTTAAGCTTTCCCTAAAGCTTTCTGCTAGCATGTGCCCCTCAGCCATGCCCAGCACAGATAATGCCTCATGTCTCCAACTTCTCTGTTTATGACACCCTAATTAACAACTCCAGAGATTTTCAATTTACCCCTCTGCATTAGTCCATTCTCATGCCGCTATAAAGAACTCCCGAGACTGGGTAGTTTATAAAGGAAGGAGGTTTAATTGACTCACAGTTCCACAGTGCTGGGGAGGCCTCAGGAAACTTACAATCATGGCAGAAGGGGAAGCAAACTTGTCCTTCTTCACATCGTTGCAGGAAGGAGGGTAAGTGCCAGCGGGAGAAAGGCCGGAGGCTTATAAAACCATCAGATCTCATGAGAACTCGCTCACTATCGCGAGAACAGCACGGGAGAAACCATGCCCATGATTCAATTACCTCCCACGGGATCCCTCCCACAAAACGTGGGGATTATGGGGCTTACAATTCAAGATGAGATTTGAGAGAGAATGCAGCCAAACCATATCACCCTCAAAGGACACATGTATTCAGCTACTCCAACTGATAATGCTGCTACCATTATTTGCTTATTAAGCACATAATTTTGTCAGGCGAAAATTATATCCAATTCTAACAATGACCAGGTAGGTATTATTATCCTCCTTTATAGTAAAAGGAGAATAAAGAGGCTCAGAAAGTTTAAATTTTCTATGGTTAATGTTTTAGCAAATGACACAGCCAAGATTCAATCCCAGCTCATTTGGAATCAGCATGCTATCACTCCAATGACGCATTGCGCCACTGGGCACAAAGTAAGCCATGTACCCTGACCAAAAGCTCCCAAAGCAATATAGATAATCCTTGTTAGGGTAAGGGATAAGGGGGACTTCTTCCTAATTTGTATTACCAGTCTGCCAAACTGAAAAATTAAGACATTTAAATATTTTTTAAGAAGTCTTTTCCTTTCAGAATCACTTAAATCTCTGTCCCTATTACTCTCTTCTAAAGTGTGCCTTTGGGTTTGGCTGTCTCTATAATAATTTGCTGCAAATTCATAATGAATACCTACACAAACCACATCTGGTTTCTGAGCTGTTAGTGCTCTTGCAGAAAATTTCTTTCTTTTATTTGGGGCGAGAGAAATGGAGTAAATTATGCTTGGTGTTAAAATATGCAGTCCAGGCTCCAGATATGGAGGAAGGGGTACTGGAATCAGGATAATGATAGCAATACAAGCCAGGTCAATGAGGTTTCCAGCAAAAATTTATAATCAGAAAATAGGTATTTATAGAATGATAGAACATTAGAGCCTAAAGTGACCACTATTAGAGATGGACATTGAGACTTAGAAGTTCAGTGCACGATCCATGTTCACAGCTCATAACAATGCCCCACTATAATCCAGGTCACCCAAATAATCAAATGACATTTTTCTATTAAACCACAATGCCTACTGTTAAAAGAAAAAAAAAAAACCCTACATTTTCTTAGTCGTTTAATATTGTTCCTTTCCAGAGAAATATATTAAAAACTAAAATGTTGCACAAAGATTTTTCAGTAAAAAAGATAAGGAATATGAATTTTACTTCTCATTCAGTCTTGTTATTACCTATAAAATCATTTAACACTAATAAAAATATCACATTGCTCTAAGATCCCATAATATGACAGTGCCTAATTATTTCTTCTAGCTAGATTATTTATTTTTTTCCAATTTCAATATATTTTTGAAAACTCAGGTAAGTTAGTGATTTCTTTTAAAAAAAAAACTTACTTCAAGATTTAAACACCTTCCTTAAGGAAGCAAAAAGACTATTCAGCCTTTCAAATTGCATCTTCTGTTTCTGGAAGCATCAATAAAGCTCTTATTCAAGACTGGCCCATTGTGAAGTTGCCTCGTCTCCTACTTTCCAGATAGAGTACATTCTTAGGTCAGATACATAGTTGACCACTGATACGATTTTTCCAGGAAAAAAAAACAACTTTAGAACTACTTTGCTTATTCATTATCGAAAAAAAGGGTTAGGGGTTGGGGAAAGATGCAAGAACTATGTGTCCAAAAGAAAGGCAACATTCGAAACAGAAGTTTGTAGCTTCCTCTTACCTCGATCTGACAACAAATAAATGTAAATTATGATCCTTGCTGTGCATTTCAGATTAAAGACATATGACACAAAAGTTGGCTTTAAAACCAAAGGGTCAGAATAGAAAGTGTAACTTTTAAGTAATTCGTCTCTTGGATTGGTATCAGACTACTGTTACACTAGAGGAGACACATGCAGAAAACCTGTGTTCTCTCCCATAAGGGCTTTGATGTGGATTCTTCTTTTTTTCCTTTTCATAAAAATGTAACTTGAAAGAAAAGAATACTCTACCTCTGAAAAACGATCCTGCCCTATTAAGAAGCAGACAAGGCAATAAGTTTAAAACAAAATTTAGGTGGGAAGGGTAGAAACAGCTGTAGGAGTTAACCTAAAAGTTCAGCAAACCCTGCCAAGACATGTGACAGTGCTTAACTTGCCAAGAGTAGGTACTCTCCTTAGAGACCTCTCCAAATATTATCAAAAGCATTTCCTTTGAAACAGACCAGCCTCTGATAATAATACAAGGGAATCAAACTCAGGCATCTCCCCATAATGGGATTCAGATTCCTCACAAACTTGGGAGTGTTGAAGGTTTAATTACCCAGTAAAACAAGAAAAATGCATTATACAGTAGAGATAAATGAATGGGAACACCAGGGGAACATGCTTCTCCATAAGTCATTTGGTCACATGATTTCTTCCCCATTTCCTTTCCTTATTATTACAGCTATTTTATTACATTGCCCCTAAAGACAGAGGGCAAAAAGCAAAATACTCATAGCTTCCTCAAAGTACTTCCCAGATTAAATGTAATAGAGCATAAGTTTCTCAAGTGGCTTACAGCTTTATAAAGGTTTCTTTTTAGAGTCTCACAGAGATTAAAAAAAAAAAAAAAAAGCTGACCACCACCAAGCAGCAAGTATGATAAAACCATGTAGACACCAAGAAATGACAAGAAAAAGAGAAACAGTGGATTGAATATGTTTCTCTCTCTCTCTCTCTCTCTCTCCACACCCCCTCACTCTCTCTCTCCCCCGCCCCCCACCTTCCCCACTCTCTGTTATCCTTTACTGGGACATTTGTGATTTCACTGTTACTCTTTCAAAGCTCTTTTAATTATTGAAAAATACTAAAATCAGTTAAATTATAGGGCTCAGTAACAGGGACTAAAATCTAGATTACTCCTTTTCCAAGCCTTACCCAAGAGTTGATAGATTTTAAAAGAATACCTTCTACTTTTTCACCATGAACCAGTCCTAGTCTCTCCTTCATAGTATCTGCTCCTCTTATACTCTACTTTCCTGGGCAACTCGAAGACTTACACTTATTGATGGATGTTAAACCAAGCTTCAAAATAAAGATTCAACATTGTGCAATCCAGATATAATAATAATGATGAACTGCAACATTTTTTATCCGTACTATTGTGGAGCATTGGAATACGTTGCCAAGGAAAATCATAACACAGATTTCAATGGCTATATAATATGCCACCAATAAGTTTTGGACAGAGATAACTAAAGTAAGAGAAAAGCAAAGTAGGAAAGAAAATCTTATAACACTGTTATATTTATAATTTCCCCCTAAACTATGAAAGAATGAAATAGAACAATAAATATTACTAAAAGTAAAATGGCATCACAAGTTCCAGAATTGATAACCATATAGAAATATACTCCCACGAAGTTGTTTATGATTTCTTTAGAGGGGCAATATATACAATAAAAATTGAGGACCAAGATATAAAAAAAGGGAAAATGCTGACTGTTTCTGTTACAAAGTAGAAAAATACTGAAATTTTACATGAATACTGATAAGTACATAAAAAATCTTAAAACAAATATAATTTGTAATTTAGAAAACCCTGAGAATGTATTTTAAATAAACATTATAATTCATTTCTCTAAAGTGGTGGTTCACTCTAAAGAATAAAATTCTTACAGAAAAACTACTTTTCTGTTCCCCATGACTATATATAATTCTTAGAAGTATCCCCAAGTCAACATCAAAGAGAAAAACATGATACACAGTTGAATCTAATTTGATATTCCCATAATTATTGTCACGTGAAGAGTCAATAACTGTAAATTGCTCAGCAATGTAGAAGCTCTGATAACACTTCCAGTAAGATTTGTTTTCTCTTATCTCATCTCTTTTCTGTCTTTCTAACATGGCCTTCAGCAACATCCTGACAGTGCAGAATGAAGCCAAAATGCCTCAACAAAATAGTCTTTTTCTCTGGTAGCTGCTAAATCATAGCCATTTGGCTATAATTTTAGAAGTAATGGCAGGCCTAAGTCCTTTAGGCAAGAAAGTCTAAACTGGGATTTTGCTTGTGCATGTGTAGCACTGAGTTAATTCACAGTGAGAACAGTCAGGAACCCTGAACAAGCTGTCTAATGTGCCCACTCCATTTCTGGTTGACTACAAGGTGCAGAGATTAGTACTTGTGCTGTGTCAGCAAGAGTGACAGGAGTTTGACCTTTCTCCATAGCAGGAAGGAGGCTGAGCTCCCACAGCCTTTTCCTGCATGAGCTCTTTGCAGGGCATTGTAACATATCATTACTGTGGCATCACTGCCAAGGGTTGCCATTTTAGAGAAAACATACAAATGGCCCAATAATGGGTTTCTTCATGCGTCACTGGAAGCCTGTAAAAGGAGCTTTGTTTGTATCCTTATTGTCTGATGTATTGGAACTTGAGTGCCTTTTTGACCTTTGTATTGTCATTCACATCTTTCCAACACAATACAGCCAGAGTAAGAGTTGAAGAAAAAAATGCTGAAATCAGAGGTAATGGTGTTGCTTCGTTTGACCAGTCTGAGACCAAATGTGCCTCCTCCTGTTCATTTAGATTCATTCCATTTAGATTGTCTTCCTTCATCTTGGTGCAGAGCTGAGTTCAATTCCTGGATATCCTTGTTAACTTTCTGTCTCGTTGATCTGTCTGATGCTGACAGTGGGGTGTTAAAGTCTCCCATTATTATTGTGTGGGAGTCTAAGTCTCTTTGTAGGTCTCTAAGGACTTGCTTTATGAATCTGGGTGCTCCTGTATTGGGTGCATATATATTTAAGATAGGTAGCTCTTCTTGTTGAATTGATCCCTTTACCATTATGTAATGGCCTTCTTTGTCTCTTTAGATCTTTGTTGGTTTAAAGTCTGTTTTATCAGAGACTAGGATTGCAGCACAAAGCGGACCTAATAGACATCTACAGAACTCTCCACCCCAAATCAACAGAATATACATTCTTCTCAGCACCACACTGCACTTATTCCAAAATTGACCACATAGTTGGAAGTAAAGAACTCCTCAGCAAATGTAAAAGAAGAGAAATTATAACAAACTGTCTCTCAGACCACAGTGCAATCAAACTAGAACTCAGGATTAAGAATCTCACTCAAAACCTCTCAACTACATGGAAACTGAACAACCTGCTCCTGAATGACTACTGGGTGCATAATGAAATGAAGGCAGAAATAAAGATGTTCTTTGAAACCAATGAGAACAAAGACACAACATACCAGAATCTCTGGGACACATTCAAAGCAGTGTGCAGAGGGAAATTTATAGCACTAAATGCCCACAAGAGAAAGCAGGAAAGATCTAAAATTGACACCCCAACATCACAATTAAAAGAACCAGAGAAGCAACAGCAAACACATTCAAAAGCTAGCAGAAGGCAAGAAATAGCTAAGATCAGAGCAGAACTGAAGGAGATAGAGACACAAAAAAACCCTTCAAAAAATCAATGAATCCAGGAGCTGGTTTTTTGAAAAGATCAGCAAAATTAATAGACCGCTAGCAAGACTAATAAAGAAGAAAAGAGAGAAGAATCAAACAGACGCGATAAAAAATGATAAAGGGGATGTCACCACCGATCCCACAGAAATACAAACTACCATCAGAGAATACTATAAACACCTCTATGAAAATAAAGTAGAAAATTTAGAAGAAATGGATAAATTCCTCAACACATACACTCTCCCAAGACTAAACCAGGAAGAAGCTGAATCTCTGAATAGACCAATAACAGGCTCTGAAATTGAGGCAATAATAAATAGCTTACCAACCAAAAAAAGTCCAGGACCAGATGGATTCACAGCTGAATTCTACCAGAGGTACAAGGAGGAGCTGGTACCATTCCTTCTGAAACTATTCCAATCAATAGAAAAAGAGGGAATCCTCACTAACTCATTTTATGAGGCCAGCATCATCCTGATACCAAAGCCTGGCAGAGACACAACAAAAAAAGGGAATTTTAGACCAATATCCCTCATGAACATCGACGCAAAAATCCTCAATAAAATACTGGCAAACCGAATCCAGCAGCACATCAAAAAGCTTACCCACCATGATCAAGTGGGCTTCATCCCTGGGATGTAAGGCTGGTTCAACACACAAAAATCAATAAATGTAATCCAGCATATAAACAGAACCAGTGATAAAAACCACATGATTATCTCAATAGATGCAGAAAAGGCCTTTGACAAAATTCAACAGCCCTTCGTGCTAAAAACTCTCAATAAATTAGGTATTGATGGGACGTATCTCAAAATAATAAGAGCTATTTATGACAAACCCACAGCCAATATCATACTGAATGGGCAAAAACTGGAAGCATTCCCTTTGAAAACTGGCACAAGACAGGGATGCCCTCTCTCACCACTCCTATTCAACATAGTGTTGGAAGTTCTGGCCAGGGCAATCAGGCAGGAGGAGGAAATAAAGTGTATTCAATTAGGAAAAGAGGAAGTCAAATTGTCCCTGTTTGCAGATGACATGATTGTATACCTAGAAAACCCCATCGTCTCAGCCCAAAATCTCCTTAAGCTGATAGGCAGCTTCAGCAAAGTCTCAGGATACAAAATCAATGTACAAAAATCACAAACATTCTTATACACCAATAACAGACAAACAGAAAGCCAAATCATGAGTGAACTCCCATTCACAATTGCTTCAAGAGGAATAAAATACCTAGGAATCCAACTTACAAGGGATGTGAAGGACCTCTTCAAGGAGAACTACAAACCACTGCTCAACGAAATAAAAGAGGATACAAATGGAAGAACATTCCATTCTCATGGGTAGGAAGAATCAATATTGTGAAAATGGCCATACTGCCCAAGGTAATTTATAGATTCAGTGCCATCCCCATCAAGCTACCAATGACTTTCTTCACAGAATTGGAAAAAACTACTTTAAAGTTCATATGGAACCAAAAAAGAGCCCTCATTGCCAAGTCAATCCTAAGCCAAAAGAACAAAGCTGGAGGCATCATGCTACCTGATTCAAACTATGCTACAAGGCTACAGTAACCAAAACAGCATGCTACTGGTACCAAAACAGAGATATAGACCAACGGAACAGAACAGAGCCCTCAGAAATAATACCACACATCTACAACTATCTGATCTTTGACAAACCTGACAAAAACAAGAAATGGGGAAAGGATTCTGTATTTAACAAATGGTGCTGGGAAAACTGGCTAGCCATATGTAGAAAGCTGAAACTGGATCCCTTCCTTACACCTTATACAAAAATTAATTCAAGATGGATTAAAGACTTAAATGTTAGACGCAAAACCATAAAAACCCTAGAAGAAAACCTAGGCAATACCATTCAGGACATAGGCATGGGCAAGGACTTCATGTCTAAAACACCAAAAGCAATGGCAACAAAAGCCAAAATTGACAAATGGGATCTAATTAAGCTAAAGAGCTTCTGCACAGCAAAAGAAACTACCATCAGAGTGAACAGGAAACCTACAGAATGGGAGAAAATTTTTGCAATCTACTCATCTGACAAAGTGCTAATATCCAGAATCTACAAAGAACTCAAACAAATTTACAAGAAAAAAACAAACAACCCCATCAACAAGTGGGTGAAGGATATGAACAGACACTTCTCAAAAGAAGACATTTATGCAGCCAACAGACACATGAAAAAATGCTCATCATCACTGGCCATCAGAGAAATGCAAATCAAAACCGTGATGAGATACCATCTGACACCAGTTAGAATGGCCATCACTAAAAAGTCAGGAAACAACAGCTGCTGGAGAGGATGTGGAGAAATAGGAACACTTTTACACTGTTGGTGGGACTGTAAACTGGATCAGCCATTGTGGAAGACAGTGTGGCAATTCCTCAGGGATCTAGAACTAGAAATACCATTTGACCCAGCCATCCCATTCCTGGGTATATACCCAAAGGATTATAAATCATGCTGCTATAAAGACACATGCACACGTATGTTTATTGCAGCACTATTCACAATAGCAAAGACCTGGAACCAACCCAAATGCCCAACAATGATAAACTGGATTAAGAAAATGTGGCACATACACACCATGGAATACTATGCAGCCATAAAAAATGATGAGTTCATGTCCTTTGTAGGGACATGGATGAAGCTGGAAACCATCATTCTCAGCAAACTATCACAAGGACAAAAAACCAAACATCGCATGTTCTCACTCATAGGTGGGAATTGAACAATGAGAACACTTGGACACAGGGTGGGGGACATCACACACCGGGGCCTGTTGTGGGGTGGGGGGAGGGGGGAGTGATAGCATTAGGAGATATACCTAATGTAAATGACGAGTTAATGGGTGCAGCACACCAACATGGCACATGTATACATATGTAACAAACCTGCATGTTGTGCACATGTACCCTAGAACTTAAAGTATAATTTAAAAAAAAAGATTGTCTTCCTTCATCAAAGTATATCAGCTTAGACTTCAGTACAAGGGGGGTTAATGATAACATCTCACCCTCAGAGCCATTTACACAAAGAGCTGGTAGACAAGGAGACTGTGTTGTTAGCTCATGAATATACTTATACATAAATAATTTGAAAGTAGACTATTTCAACCTATAAGAGACCAGAGTTCTCTGACATTTTAAAGGATACATGTTAGAGAAAACGGAAGGCCAGTCTAGAAGTGTGGTGGGCATCCATTACCTCTTTTACGGGCAATAGCCTGGATTTAATTTTTGCCCCGCTAGTCTCCCACTCTCAGTCCAAATGCTTGAGTGAGGCACTACCACTATCTTGGCAGTGGAGTTTGCATCAAAGGCCTGAGCCAATCTGTGGATGGCCTTGTCCTGATTACAAAGACAGGAGGAAAAAATCAAAGGCATGCATGCTCATACAAGCATTTACGGATCTAGAGCTTCAACCCAGTTCAGTGATTTTGGTAGGCTTTTCACATGTTTGACTACTCCTATCAGAAAAAGGGAACTAGATTTATAATTTTAAGTTTCTAAGTATATCTGCTAAAATTAATAGCTTAATGTCACAAACCGTCTAATATTAATACATTTTGATCAACAGCACATAGGCTTATATATTCCTAACAATATTGAATAACAATCTAGACTGAGGTGCCTTTATAAAACTCAATTGCTAAATAATAGTTCTATGCAACACATTCAGTTTTATTATTCTGGAAGAATCCCAAGCAGAATCCTGGAGAGATACTTTAAAGCCAACTATGAACAAACTTTATAATATCTTCAGTAATATGCCTCTTATTTTTCTCTAAAATTAAAGGTTATCCTTTAGCAGATAACCTGCTAAAGATGCTGTTTTTGTGACTGACCATATCACTTCTTTAATGCTAGGGAGATAGCCAAGGCAAATTTTGCAGTCAAGATCAGAACTGTGAGAAAATGCTATTTATTCATTCTCGTATAAATTATGTATCATTTCATTTCAACTGGGCTGAAGTTGCTTTTGTTCTAATTTTTTAACCTTTTTATTGTGAAGTACACTGTACATACAAAAAAAAGCTGTACAATGAAAAGATGTACAACTCAATGATTTTTCATACACCAAACACCTGTGCACTGCATCGAGAATTAATACATTGTCTGTGCTCCACATGTGCACCCTTGTTTCCTTTCCCAAACACTACCACATCCTTTTTCTCAAAGACAATCAGTGTCCTGAGTTTTACGGTCATTGCTTTTCTTGTATTTTTATACCTAAGCATGCATCCCCAAAAACAATAGTTTACTTTTGCTTGTTTTTTTCAAAGTTTATATAAACGGAATTATACAGTATATCTTCTTTTGTGCCTGGATTTTTTTTCACTTCATATTGCCTTTGTGATATTCATCTATGTTGTTTCATATAGCTCTAGTTTCATATAGTTCTAGTATCTTTATCGACATACATATATATCCATTATTATTGAGTGACATTTTGCTTCTAGTTTTTGTCCATTGATAATTAAGTTGCCGGGAACATTCTTATACATGTCTTTTAGAACACTTAGACATGCACTTCCTTTGGGTATATACCAAAGGGCGGAATTGTTGGGTCTCTAGTAGGTGAAGTGGAAATCTAGGATCTCAGGCCCATGTTCCTTTAAATCCAAAACCAATGCAATGCACTAAATTCTATAATTGGCTACATTAAAATAATAGAAATAGAGATTAATAAAGTATACTCTGGTAACATTGTGTTTTTCAGTTGGCTTATCAAGACAACTCATTTTAAATAATAAATAATGATACGTAATGTCAGTTACTTTCTTTACTATTATTGAGGGCAAAAGATCTAAGCATTGAGAAAAACCAGGGAAGTGATTTTCTTGGTTACTAATGTCAATCATATTAGAGAAATTTCTGAGGTTTTCATCTCTCCTGTTTTTCAGACAGGTAGATGCAGTGACCCAATGAGTGTTCAGCAATTTACATTTCAAGAGATCAGTACAACCAAAGTCTTATAGTTCTGTGTTTAAAGAAGCTACATCCCATAATCCCGAGGTCTTGGCCATCTGCAGTGAACTAGGCCATATTGTTGTGGTTTCCAATTTAGCAGCTACAGAAAGTTTGCTTGCCTCATGAGATAACTAGTTAGTAAAGACAACTACTACACTGAAACCTAATCTTCTAGAACTGTCATCTGCAAGACTTTGAATCTATGACTTAGGATGTTCTGTGGGTTTTGTTTTTTGTTTTTTCTTTTCTTTTTTGTTTGTTTGTTTGTTTTTGTTTTTTTGTTGTTTTTGAGATGGAGTCTCACTCTGTTGCCAGGCTGGAGTGCAATGGCGCAATCTTGGCTCACTGCAACCTCCGCTTCCCAGGTTCAAGTAATTATCCTGCCTCAGCCTCCCGAGTAGCTGGGATTACAGGCATCTGCCATCATGCCCAGCTAATTTTTGTTTTTTTAGTAGAGACGGGGTTTCACCATGTTGGCCAGGATGGCCTTGATCTCCTGACTTCGTGATCTGCTCACCCTGGCCTCCCAAAGAGAATTCACACTGTTACCATTCAATGTATTATCTGAATGGTTGCTTTATCCCCACAGGAAATCCAGGGTGAAGGTTTCCAGATAAAATACAGGACACACAATTAAATTTGAGTTTCAGAGAAACAATGGACATTTTTTTTTTATGTGAGTATGGAATATTTTCATTTTCTAAGTCTGGCAACCCTACCTAGGCTTAAGCTTTTATAGGCTGATCTGCCCTTACATTCACTATATGCTTGTGTCTATCTCTTTGCAAGCAATAGAAAATATGATTTAATAAGTTCTGTTCTTCTCAGTATTATTGATTTAATAGAAACAATAACAAAACTGGCATTGAATATTGTCTCCTATAATAACTTTAATATTCATGTTAAAATATCTTCAAAAATGATAACAAGAGTTTACTAATATATAAGCCAGATATCAGCTGGGGGCCTCTATGACTCTAAGAAATTAATGAACTTTACTCAACCATTCCCATCTCTTCCTTCTCCCAAAGAAATCGGAAATACAAGTTCCTTGCCAAGACTTCAGCACATTCCTGAGCACTTGATTTTCATGACTCCTTTTTCCCTGGGCTCCTGTTTCCATGTTTACCAACTCAAGTGCTGCCCAACAGGGACCTCAAAATGATACTTAACCTCTGTTCAACTTCTGTGAAAAACTCCATGCACACAGCTTTCACAAGTAGAGTAAATTTAACTTTATGTGAGATGGGCTTCTATAATAGCAATGTAAACAATTTAAACAGTTATATTTTGTTTTAAGTAATGATATTCATGTACCCGTGAAACTCCCAAACTCATGGGGTTTTTTTACTGGCCATTCAACTAGTCCAGGACTCATCTTACCTGATTCAAGATGAAAATGTATTTTTTTCTCCTGTGTCTCACACAAAGCAGTATTCCCCCTCCACTTAAACATTGACCCAATATAACCCCTAAGCCCTCAGAGTACTTACCTTTTACCACAAACATGTATTAAAGTAATTTACCAAACAAAGGCAATTTTATTCTAAAGTAAATTTCTATCCTAGCTGTCAAAATATCAACCTTTTCTCCTTTTCATTATATAAAATTAATATACTTACACTCTTGTACGCTGCTTTTGGAAGAATAGTTTGCTATAATCTCTGGAAAATAATTTGAAGGTAAACGTAAATGAGAAAGCATACTTCCTATGGCCTAGAATATCTCCTTGTAGAAATGCATTTTAAAAAATAATCATGAACAGTTATGAAGATTTACTCCATGGATGTTTTTCCAACATTGTTTCTGACTGAAAAATCATAAACAACTTAAGTGTCCGTTAATAGGAGATGACTAAATTAGTCATTTTCACCCATAAAGTGAAATACTATAAAACTATTAAAATGATTATAGAGTAACATTTAATAATAGGGGAAGATATTTTTGATATACTATTAAATAGACAAAAGAAGCAGGTTCCAAATACTCATAAAATGTAATACTAATGTTTTTTAGCATCATCTAAAAACACTTAGATAAGGTATATGTCAAACTAACATGTCACTTCTGATGATGAAATAAAACATGATTTACATGTTCTTAGTGTTTTGCAATATTTTCTAAAATTGCTATCATATACATTTCTTCATTTTTTTTTAAAAAAATGATGATATTATGGCAGAGACACACCGCTTTTTAACAGTAATCAACTCTCAGATGTGTTTCCATTCTCTATTTGTTTTTAACTAGTAACATTACTGTTGTGATTCCCTTTCTTTTTCAAAAAATGTCTACTTTTTCTAATGAAGAATGATAGTTTTATGGAAAAAATCTCAAGTTATTGTTAGCAAAACGCGTTATTTTTCATGATGTGAATTATCACTGTTGAAGGTTGAGTGTTAAGCCATCAACAAAACATATGAGTGGACAGGGACTTCACTTACTGGGAATGCATTATAAAGTATATGCTTATTTCCTAAATGATAAAATTTTCTTTAAGAATCTTTCATTTCCATCTGTCCATAATTTCATTCATTCAACAAAATGTTTTGAGTACCTGCTGTGCATCAAGCAAAGTTGTATAATTGACAGGTGTTATGCAGAGAAATAAAGCAGGAAGCAGGGTGAAGACATCTACCGGGAAGAGATCTTGCTATTTTTTACACAGTGATCAGAAAAAGCCTCTCTCATCAGATGACATTTGATCTGTACACAGTAGGTACAAAGGCAGGAATATGCTTGTAGGTTCAAGGCATTGCAAGGAGTCCTGTTGATGCAGGATTGGGAAGCGAGAGATGAGTGTTTACATTTTTACAATAAACTCACTCTTTATATACTCTGAGTAACTTTAAAAGCTACTATTGTTCAATATCTCATGGTGAGCAATGTCTGTTTCCATTCTTTTCTATGACTCCTCTCTTAAAAATTATGGAGAGTTGTTTTCTCTTTCCATCCCACATGGCTATCATTTACCATAATCATAGTATCTTCTTTTAGTACCAAAAAGCATCCCCTCATAACAATATTTACTTTATATATTTGGCTTTGAATTTCCTAAGAGTAAATTATTCAAATAAACTACATAGAATTAAATAGGTCAAAATACGTAAAACAAAAACAGCCGCTAGTAAGCATAATGATTTTTAAAATATTAGTGTAAAATCACATAGACTAAAAAAAAAATAAATAAAAATAGAACCACACTAATAAAGGAGCCAAAAGCTTTTTCCTAAAGCTTTTCTTGCAGAGTTCCTTATGATTGAGAAAAAGATTGGGTATGTTTTTTAGTAGAGATGCCAGGTTCTTTACAAGAAGATTATGTTTTCTGCTCTTCTTAGACTCCACAACATGAAAGTAAAGTAAGAGATATATTTATTTGTAAACATGTATTTACATTTATATACATTATATTATTTTTATAAATATTTATTAATGACTCCTTTCAGCTATGTAAGTATAATTTTGTCCACCAAAATTGTAAGATGATCCAATGCTTTATCAGCTATTTATGATGACCTTTTGAAGAAGTCCAAGAGGCTGGTTATGGTCAGGATAGTTTCCCTGTAATAAATCATTCTGAATGGAGTTTCATCACCACATGCAGTTTGATGTAAGTTCATTCTAAGTGGATTGTGTTTTTAAGGATATACTCATCTATATTGCCAATAAGAAAGCAGAATAATGACAAAACTACCATTTGGGTCCACTAGTTCAGTCATCCTGGTCAAATAAAGCTGGTATTTTGTAAGAACAAAAACAAAAATAAAAATCACTTCAAGGGGCTGAACCTGTATTATGGAATCAACTGTATATAAATTACTATTATTCTCAAGAAGAAAAAGCCAGAATGATTGTGAAGAGAAGTACAGATGGATAACTAAGTGGAGCATTTGGGTGAGCTATACACTAAGGTTTTGGTGTGAGCCTTCACCAGTATAGCAGAGAGCCATAGGTCTATTCTATGATTGTGTGGAGTCTCTTCTTCCTTTTTCATAATTCTGTTTTAGATGTTTCTATATGTTGAGTAGCATTGGGACTGGTAAAGTTTTGGTAATTTCTTTTGGATATCTCAAAAACGCCTTTGAAAAACTTGTAATTACTACTCTCTGCACCTGTAGTGATAGAATTTTCCCTAGTGTCCAGAGAAAAAGAACATCTTCTGGACTAAAAGGCTGCATGAGATACTCTTCTCCATTTCCCAAGACACATGTGTTCTATAATTCTTACTGGCCACCTGGTCTTGTGCTTAGAATTAAAAGCAAGTCCCTTTAGTTAGCTTGAAACTTTAATAGAGTTTTGCATTTAGCTGTTTTATTTCTACTAAGTGAAGAGCTAGAAAAGCATGAATGACATGTCTAGAGACGAATCTACACAAAGATTAATGAAGCAAAGATCTGGCAATGGTTCCAAGTTGGGACTATGCACAACAGCCTCTTGCTGACTCCTCATGAGCCAGAGTGGACTGCTGCATTAGTTCACAATCCAGCCAAGATTCATATACGACCTTCATTACGCTTCATTCATTGATTTAACGAAAACGTTAAGTGCTTTCTATACAGTGGTCCCCACTTTAGGTTTTAAAGAAGACAGATATGGTTTCTGGCTTTGTGGAGCTTGCAATCTATCTTGTGTGTTCATTGTGTTTACTTGCATTGTCTAGAATGAGTGTAGACAGAAAACAAAACTTTGAAATCTAGAAGCAAAATGAGTAGGTAATGAGTAGTAGGTAATCAATGCTGTAAGATTTTCTTAGAGATAATCTAGTGTTATTTATAAAAGACAATCTAGTGTTATTTATAAAATGGTTTGTATGAGATTCATTTCAGGTTGTAGGTGTTTGTTCTTGTTCAAATGGCTGGAAATTTTTATTTATTATTTAGCTGGAAATATACCACTATTTTTACTTGTATTTGCTTGGTGAAGTGAAATGTTTTTATATCTCTAAACAAGTCTTGTAAACTATTTTTCAGTTTAAATAGTTCATGATATCAGCCTGTCAGAGGTTTACATTTGCACAAAGAATCTTTCTAATGAGGCTTGACAGGGCATGTATCCAAGCAGAAGTTTGCCGTCTTTTATCTTAAGCTTTATAGTGAGAGTTCACCATATCTTTTTAATGTGAGAGAATGTGAATTGGCAATACCTATTCCATATGTTATTTATTTATGAGACCTGCTTATCCAGAACTCACAGCCCAATTATTACTCTAGCCAGAGACCTTATTTCTAGATTCATGTTTTCTCTTGGTGTACAACTGTAAACCACAAGTGAAGTTTCTAATGTTGACAAGGTGTATCCATTAGTTCCACTAAAATGCTCTAACCACCGGAGCTCATTGATTTTTAGTTTCATATATCTTTAATGAGGAGATTAAATACTTGTTTAGGAAGCAGAGCCTAGCTTAAGTGGTGTTTTTTCCTATAGCATGTACAGTTGAAGACCTCCATAATCTCTCCCATAGGTCATGCCATGGAATGAGCTTTTTCACACTAAAACACAAAGCTACAAATATTTCTATAAGTATACAAATATATGCATATTATAATTATTTTTTTACAAAGCATCAGAATAACCACAGGAGAGACAAAAATATTTCTACTTGTCTGGTATCTGGGTATATCTTCTAGAATGTTGATTATTAATTCTCCATAAATGCCTAGCAAAATACTATGTCCAGCTTTCAAGTGAAGATAAAATATATCTTGATCATGAATTGGTGTTGATTATGGGGTAAGAGAAATGACTAAGTCAAGGCCAAAAGCAGATGTCACCTAAGTTCCCCTGGGTCATCAAGAAAAATTAAAACCTGGTCAATGCCTAGAATATTTCTTAAACATTTGAGATAATTATAAAATAACTGCAGTGAGAGATTAGGCCAATTCACTGTTGGCAAACTAAACCAAAGTGAGATCAGAATAAAGAGTATCAAGCAACATTGCCTGGCTGATTATGCATGGTACCACTAAGTATGGGATGCTGCAAGTCCCTTAAAATAGGATCAAGCAGAGTGATATTAGCATTTTCTGCATGCAAAGCCTTTTGTGTGTGGTAAGCAAACCATACTCTAAGAGAGCTGCTGCAAGTCCCTAGGTAATCTAACCAGACAGTGGGAAGAGAAGATCAATTGATTGCTCACCCTACTTTAAAGAAAGAAGTTTTCTTCTTCAGGGAAAAACAGAAAGAAAGTGGTGATGGGGTTGGGGGAGGGGTGTGGCAGAGGCACATGTAGGGAAAATAGAAGCATGAGCATCTAGGGAAGACTAAGGTAGTTGAAATGTATCTAGTTCTTTTAAAAAATATCTATTATCATACCTTTAGCAATTTAGGGATCCGTTCTCCACAATACTGAGACAATTACTCATAAATTCTTAGGACAAAATTGTTTCTTATTTTAATAAAAATATACAGTTCTAAAGGAGGTCATTTAAACAGGTTCTTTTTTCAGATGCTATAGCAGCAGGGTAAGAATGTGATAGGAGATGCAACAAAATAGCACTTCTCAGCCTGGGGGAAGATATTTATAACAAATACAGAGAAAGGTAATATCCCCAACATGATGAGCTGTTTTTTAAAAAAAATCTCTAAAAATAACACAAACATCCTCAAAATAATACTCAAATGACTGGAGTATGGACAAGGAACATGAAAAAAATCTAAAAGATAATAAGCATATTTTAAAACATTTAACTTCGCTAATGATTGTATAGATTATTTCTGAAAAACATTTGAATATATGGATATATTCAGAATCTTTAAAATAATCAGAACTTATGGCCCAATGATTCCAGTAACTGTTGCTTTTTTCTTGTTGTTTGAGACGGTGTCTTTCTCTGTCACTCAGGCTGGAGTATAGTGATTCAATCATAGTTCAAACTCCTGGGTTCAAACGATCCTCCTGCCCCAGCCTCCTGAGCAGCTGGGATTACAGGTGCACGCCACCACACCCAGCTACATTTTTTGTTTTTATTTTGTAGAGATGGGCTCTCACTTTGTTGCTCAGCCTGGTCTCTAACTCCTGGTTTCAAGCAATCCTCCTGCCTTGGTCTCCCAAAGTGCTGGGATCACATGTGTGAGCCACCACATCCAGCCCAACAACTATTTCTAACAAATAGAAACTATGTATCATGATGTTAAGAAAATTCTAAATATCTAATCAAAAACAGAAACATTGAAATAAATTAAGGTATATTCATAAATGAAATATTCTTCAGCCATGAAAATTACATTCAGTAACAATTTTAATGAGAAAGAAAAATGTTCATGATATAGTCTACACGAGAAAGCATTTATTTATAGTATAGTTATAATTATTGAAAAATATGCACAGCAAAAAGAAAAAGGAAAATCTCGACATTTGAACATTGGTTACATAAAGATTGTTGAATTTTATGTATAATTTTCATTTGATTCTTAATAACTGTTTTTTCTAAGTTTTCTAAAATGAACATGTATTTTTTTCAGAAAAAAAGGACAACAAAAATGTCTAAGAAATACAGTAATCCTCTAAGTCAAATGTATTTGGAAAGTACTTGTTTAATATCCCGAAATTTTTGTAAATATGAACATTTTACTTTAAAATATATCATTTGAGCTACTTAGGAGAGAGTAAACATAATGAAAAATAGTAATATATTCTTGTATCATTTTGCAATGACACAAAATGAAAGATTTTGTTCACTTCACGGAAATTTTTCACATGTATAATATTATTTTCACATTAATTTCTGCTGGTCCCAGAGATCATTTTCAGTGGACACAGTAGCTCAGGACAACTTTATTCCTTCTATATCCAAAGACAGAGCAGCTTAATCTCTTTTCTGGTGTTGAATTAGTGTGCAGAATTTGGCATAGAACTGTCAGGCATTGAAGGACCACTACAAATCACTGCTTAATTTTCAAATACAATTTTTGGGTTATGTTTGAAGGCAATATACACTAACTGCAGTTCCTAAGGGTTAAAGTCTACAAAGCAATCTGGTATCAACTTGCTGCACAGCTAGTACAACAATCAGTATTCAAAATTCTCCATTCTAAAATGGCATGATTAATTCAGAGATTGGGCTGTACAGTGGTTCAATATTTATGTATAATCTTTGTACAAATTCTAAAATGGCCTTCATTTTGTTCTGATTTTCTGCTTTCTACTTATTGAGCTAACAATACTTTAGAAGACAACTCAGAAAATTGTCTTTTGCATGACCTAAAGGCATAACCATAATGCCCCTTTTACTGAGCCCTGACCCCTAATATTTTTCTAGGCAAGACCTTAAGAGAGGTAGAAAATTGAGAGGGTGAAGGGGAAAATCTTCAAAAGCAGCATGTCTCTAAATTGATACCATGTAAACCTCTCATAGTATTGGGAAACCACTGCTGGGGGTAAATGAAATGAATTCACTGGGGCATCTAATCCTATTCTTGGAACATTTAAACTGTTTAAATGCACTGACGAGCAAACAAACTTCAAAGCGATCATTACGCCCCAGACACTGTTGCTTGTGTGGCTGAAATCTTTATGAGATTAGCCCCCCACAGAGAGAGAAGTTAAACACAGCCAGAACCACTTTGAAACTGTCGGGAGGATACCCATTTACCGGCTGAGGATCAGGGCAAATGTGCCTAATTCCCAATGTGGCTCTGCCCCAGACCCAAGAGTAACCTATTGAGCTTAAAACCCCACTTCACTCTCTGCAGCCTTCATTTCTTGCCTCTGCAACCTCAACAGCACTGACAACCCTGGACCTGCACAAATATTCAAAGTTCCTAAGCACATCTTTGGCAAAGTATTCATTTCCCTGTCACTATTGTCTTCACCGAAGAATTAAATGATGGATAGCACATATCGAACAAATATTGTAAAACAGTACAACTAAGAAGTTGTTGTTGTCGTTGTTGTTTTCTTCTGTTTGGTTTCAAGTATATGAAAAATAATTAGCAAAAATAGAAAAATGTACTGTCAAGCTTTTTTTCTGTCAACTTTTACACTATTTTCCTCAAGTATCTCCCCAATTTTTATTCCTTCCTTATCTCAATCTTAAATTCATAATGCAACATCAATATTTCATTTGTTAACCAATTTAAGAATAAAACTTCTAGTTATTCCTAAACTAGCAACGTGATTTTTACTTATATAGAAGGGGCTAAAAAAAAAAGCAACATTAATTTATTCAACCAGTATTGACTTGCCTATCATGAGATTCGTTCTAATTGCTGGAAAGACAAATCCAGCGGAGTCATTCCATCATCAGGTGCCCGTTTAGAGGGTGAGGCAAGGCGGACAAATCTGAGGATCTGAGGAATGCAGAACAGATACATAAAGGAAGAATGAATGGCAATGGAGGCTTGGATATATTTTCTTCCCCTGATCTTTTTATTTCCATGGTTCTTAATTTCTGAAATTCTACATTTCTTAGATAAGTTTGTGCTATCAATTTTCAATCTCAAATTTCAGAGATGGAAGCTATTTCCATTTGATTCACTTTGTGGAGTCACACTGAAAAATTTGAGAACATGAATTAGTTTTTATTTATTCCATGACATGATACCGTCAAGTTAATTTGGTTCCCTCTGAACATCATGGCCAAGAAGAGCCTTTTCCATAACCTGGAAGAGACTGAGGGAAATTTTGGCCATCCTGAGGTCACTTCTGTGGAATGCAGAATGGCCTTCTAGGTGTTCTTGTCAGGCGCCTCAATATTCATGGAAGTATGTTAATTTCACTCCCAGCAGGACTAAATATTGAAGCCTATGGCTTGGCCATAGGCCAGCTACCTTGTCCAGGTACCTAAAAATCTCAAGTTTAAAAGAAAAAAATAAGAGAGAATGAGAGAATTTAAATAGCCTAAAGAGAATATAGAGCTTATCTAGTCCATGTTATACTTTAAAATCTGTCTTTCATTATGCCACTATGGTGGGAAACATCACCCCTCAAACACATTCTATTAGTTCCCCAAAGATTTATTACTTCATTGCTTTGGGGTATAATTCTATCAGGCTATGTAGTAGAAAATTATATGTAAGCTCATTGTGAAAGCACTGTTAGAATATTGTTTCCCATGTTTCAACGTGCTCTCTCTCTCTCTCAGAATCCATGAGATAAATTTATATCTGGGCATAGAATGGGAAAAATTAGAATATTTATGAGCAATGACCTGTTTTGGTTTTTATCTATTTAAACACTGTGAATCATAAAGCTGATCAGGTCAACTTTAAGTTGGCTGCTCAAAACTTCAGTGTCACATCCATGGCTCAGTTCACTCAAGAATGAAAACTCCCAACATTTGATGCGCACAGATTACTCTCAAGCCCAACTTTTTATTAGTATTCTAATTTTCTTGCCCCTTTCCTTCATCTATTTTAAATGTTGATTCTGTCTTATTGGATTCTGTGTATTTTGTTGAGTAATCTTAAATCTTTTGCTGAGAATAACAATTTATACAAAAATAAAAACAAAAATTACATATCACCGTTCTCGGAGATGCCCCTTTCCCTCTTATACCTGGAAGACTCTAGCTTTTGTTTCTTATCTGACGTTGCTATTAATATTTGCCACTCCAGCAGAAAGTTTTACACAAATGAACTGGTGTAATAGGATGTTAACCTATAATAAGAGTTTGTCACACCACAGTCACACTACAGGAGATCTGCCATTGATTTTTCAGTAAATATGGCAAATGGTGAAAAATATAGTGTGTGTTCCTCAGCACTAAATTTTTTAGTGACCATTTTTCTTTTTGGCTGTTTTCTATTCTGCTGTCTTCGGGTGATATTTAATAAAATGTTCTCTTTCCTCAGTGTTTGAACTTGTACTGACATGGCTAATGGGGCCTGTACTAAAGTTATCATCTATTTCACCATTAATGCATTTGTAAAGTTTGCCTTCATTCTTTGATAAAGCATGAAAAACAAATTAGGTATGAAAAAAACCTACTGAGTCATGGAATTGAAGAGCAAACACGGACCATGGCTCTCTGGCTATTTAGGTTACTCAAATCCTTACAGGCCAAAGGACAATGTCTGAACATCATATAAAGCAAAGCTCAGACTATGATTTTTTTTTAAGTATGGCAAATGTTAAAAGATTCTTTTTTCCATTTAGCCTAAATTTTTCCTTCTGGAACTCAGGTACTTTGGCTTATTATTCTTTTCTTAACATAAGAAAAATGATCAATATTTCTAATTTGAACCCTTTGGAAAGGCAGGTGTGATGAGATCAAGGTGTCACTCACTCTTGAGGACTGCTCACTCTCACGGAAGATGGCATTTACCTTACAAAATGGTTCTAGTGCAGGGCCTGCTTCTCTGACTTGTGCAAGCCCAGAAACTTGAGTCTGTCAGCAAGGGGAGAATGGATATACCTATTATGGGACAATACAGATCAAGAAAGTTCACCGAGACTAACACATAGAAACAATTTCTTTTCTTGGTAGGATGAGTAGTCTTTTAGTAAATCTCTCTATTTCACAGGGCATCAGAAAGTTGGATTATGGGGAGCCTATTCCTCAGTTATTGTACAGATTTTGAACATCAAGTATGTAAAGACATATAAGATACCAAGTCAAATAAGACCTGTTCCCTGACCTCAAGAAATGTGTATTCCACTAGGCAGACACAGACAAATAAACACGATCAATGAAAGTCTACACCATGAACGTTCAAGACGTTAAATCAAGTCAGCCTCAATAATAGGAATATGCTTGCCTGTAGAAGAAGAATATTTTAAGACTACTGCCCAGGATTCCCTCTTCTACAGAAGGTGATGATTGATTGGAGATAATTCTTTGTATGATTATTTTATACTTTATCCATCAGACAGGAAACTTCTTTCCCTTACTGTCAATTTTTCCAGTTTTATCTATGTGCACACTCCCATTATGTAAAGCAGATAGTTTAAAGTCATGGTATGCATTTGCTCTTAGATAAATAACATAATTAAAAAATATATTTAATGGCTCTCTATATCCTTGAGAATAAAATCTAAATATGAATGTTGGGATACCACAAAAAGGCCATATTTCCTACCTTATGTTCTTCGTCTCTTTTCCCCTTACTTTATGCTCCTTGTTAAGTGCAGTTTATCCCATTCATTCAGTCAGTCTGCAAACATTTATTAAACACTAACTATGCCCAGGCACTGGCATATTTCTGATCATAAAAACATCACCAAACTTCTAAATAAAGACCCAAACCACTTCTTTTTAAATTGATACATAATAATTGTACATTTTATGGGGTATATGTGACATTTGGATACACATATACAATGTGTAATTATAAAATCGGGGTAACTGGGATATTCATCACCTCAAACATTTATCATTTCTTTGCATTGGGAACATTTCAAATCTTCTCTTCTGGCTATTTTGAAATATACACCAAATTATTTTTAACTATAGTCACTCTACCATGCAATTGACACTAGAACATACACCTTCTATCAAATTGTATATTTGTACCCATTAGCCAAACTATCCTCATCCCTCTCCCAACCTCTTCTTTTCCCAGCCTCTGGTAACCATCATTATACTCTCTACCTCCATGAGATCAACATTTTTAGCTACCACATATGGATAAGAACATGTGACACTGATCTTTCTTTGGCTGGCTTATTTCCTCTTACATATGATTTCCAGTTCCATCCACCAAAACTCTTCTAAAATTAAACATTGAAATAAATGTGGGCTATACAAACATTTAAAACAAATTAATTAATAAAAACAAGTAAGATAATTATTTCCTTGCTTATTCCAGTTCAGGATCACAGGTGGTTGGACCTTATGCTGGCAGCTCAGGGCACAAGGTGGGCACCAACCCTGGACAGGACACCATCCAATTGCAGGGCACACTCACATACACCCTAACACTCAGACTGGGAAAGCTTAAACACACCAATTAACCTAACGTTAATTGCCACATCTTTGGGATGTGGCAAGAAACCGAAGAACCTGGAGAAAACCCACATAGATATGGAGAGAACATGCAAACTCTATATAGATAGTGGCTCCAGCCAATTTTTTTTCTTCTCATCAATGTTATAGCAAAGTCATGTTGAGTGAAACAATGTTATTCAAGGACCTGCTGTACCTAATTACCTCCTGGTTGTCTTTGCCTTAACTTGTCAACTCATGAAAGTCTCATGAGAAAAAGATTTGTACATGATTCATCTTGGTATTCCCATGGCATTCCGGAGATTTTGGCATGTTGTATCTCTGTTTTCATTTATTTTATAGAATTTATTTTATTTCTGCCTTAATTTTTTGTTTACCCAAAAGTCATTCAGGAACAAGTTGTTTAATTTTCCTGCAATTGTGTGGTTTGGGGAGATCTTCCTGGAATTGATTTTTATTTTTATTTCACTGTGGTTGAAGAGAATGGTTGGTATAATTTTTTTTTCAGTATATTGAGACTTTCTTTACAAGCAAGCATGTGGTCGATCTTGGAGTATGTTCGGTGTGCAGATGAGAAGAATGTATATTCTGTTTTTGATGGGTGGAGTAGTCTGTAGATGTCTATTATGTCCAATTAGCTAAGTGTCAAATTTAAGACCAGAATTTCTTAGTTTTCTGCCTCAATGATCTAACACTGTCAGTGGGGTGTTGAAGTCCTCCCCTATTATTGTGTGGCTTTCTAAGTCTTTTCTTAGGTCTATAACTACTTGTTTTATGAATCTGGGTGCTCCAATGTTGGGTGCATATATATTTAGGATAATTATGTCTTCTTGTTGAATTGAGCCTTTTATCATTATTATCCTTTTTTACTGTGAGTTTAAAGTCTGTTTTATCTGATATAAGGATAGTGACCCCTGCTCTTTTTTCTTGTCTGTTTGTGTGATATATCTTTCTTCAACACTTTGATTTGAATCTGTGTGTGTTTTTATGTGTGAGATGGGTCTTTTGAAGACAGCAGATGGATGGATCTTGTGTTTTTATCCAACTTGCCACTCTGTGCCTTTTAAGTAGGGTATGTAAGTCATTCACATTCAAGGCTAATATTGATATATGAGGTTTTGATCCTATTGTGAAGTTGTTAGCTCATTTCTTTGTAGTTTTTAATTGTGTGGTTGTTTTATTGGGTCGGTGGGCTATATAATTAAGTGTGTTTTTGTGGTAGCAGATATTCTTTCAATTTCATGTATAGAACTCCTTTAAGGATCTCTTCTAAGGTTGGTCTAGTAACAGATTCTCTTAGAACATGCTTGTCTGGTAAATATTTCTCCTTCACTTATGAGGTTAGTTTTGCAGGATATAAAATAATAAGTTAGAATTTCTTTTCTCTAAAACTGCCAAAAACAGGCCCCCAATCTCTCCTGGCATATAAGGTTTCTGCTGTGAAGTCCACTGTTAGCTTGATGGGGTTCCCTTTGTATGTAATCTAACTTTTTCTCTGGCTGCCTTTAAGATTTTTTCCACAGTATTGCCCTTGGATAGTCTGGTGACTATGTGCCTTGGTGAGGTTCATTTTGTAAAGTATCTCACATGTGTGCTCTAGATTTTTTTGATCTGAATGTCTACCTCTCTAGCAAGATTTAGAAAATTTTCCTGAATTATTTCCTCAAATATGTTTTACAGGTTTTTCATTTTTGTCCTTCTTTCTCAGGAATGCCAATAATTTATAGGTTTGGTCACTTTATATAATCCCATATTTCTCAAAGACTTTGTTCATTTTTTTAATATTCTCCTTATTTTTGTCTGACTGGGTTAGTTTGAAAGACTCATCATAAAGCTCTGAAATTATTTATTCTGTTTGGTCCAGGCTATTGATAAAGCTTTCAATTGTATTTTGAAACTCCTTAAGCAAATTTTTTCAATTCCAGAGGATTTTGTTGATTTCTTTTTAAGATGTTTATCTCTTCCTTCATTTCATGGATTGTCTTGAATTTCATGGAGCTCCCTTGCAATCCATGCTTTGAATTATTTATGTCATTTCTGAGTTTCCATTTTGGTTAGGGACCATTGCTGGAGAGCTAGTGTGATCCTTTGGTGGTGTCACCACATTCAGATTTTTCATGGTGCCAGAATTCTTGCATTGGTTCCTTCTTCTCTTGAGATGCAGACACTTCTTTTCTTTTAATTATTTTCATGCAATTAGAATTTTTGTCTCTTTCTTTCCCTACTACGTATATATTCTCATATATGTAATATATATATGTTATGTGTAATATGTATATATGTAATATATATGACAGTTATATCACATATATCATATATATATCAATCACATATATATCATATAATACATATCATATATAATATCATATATATCATATATATGATCTATATCATATATATCATATATATGATCTATATCATATATATCATATATATGATCTATATCATATATATCATATCATATATATCATATATATCATATATATCATATATATGATCTAGATCATATATAGATCTATATATGATCTAGATCATATATATATGAGATCTATATCATACATATATATTCTTTCCCATGTTCCCCACCACCTCCACCCAGGTAGTGTGACTGTAGAAAATGTGGATAGGGTGTTTTGGCTTTCTTTCTATAGCCCTATGCACTTCTGTTGGCAGGCTTTATATTGGGCCATGCAGTTTGACCTACAAGACAGTAGATGGCACTTACAGGTAAGAGTTGAATGCAGCCAACATGGCTGGGTATATATTTTATCTTTGTTTACGGGAGAAGCTATCAGTTGCCTCAGGCAATGGGCTGATTCATGGAGTGCACAGTGGTATGAGCCCCCTGCTCCCTCTGTGGGAAGAGGGTCACTATGGGAGGGGCTTTATGAGGCAGGTCTGCCTACAGGATCCCCTGATGGCAAGCACAAGCACCAGCACCTAGGAAGAACATGGCAAATGGCCTAGTGCTCAGAAATGTGCCCAAGTGTGGAGCTGGAAAACCTCCTTGGCCCACATTCTCTGAACAGAGATGAGAGGTGGCCTAAACTCTCAATCCAAAATAGTGGGTACTCGGAATGCCTGGAGATGTGCCTGGCCATGGAATGGAGAGGGACTTGCTGCACCATGATCTATGTCCAGCAAAGGTAGGGCAGTTCTGGCTGTTGATCCAAATAAATGAGTCCTCTGAATGCCTGGAGATCTGCCTGAGCATGAAGCAGAAAGGGCCTCCCCATATCTGGATCTCTGAACAGAAAGAATGGGGCAGGTCAGGCTGCTGATCCAAGTGAATAGGTGCTCCAAATACTTGGAGATCTTCCTGAGCGTGAAGCAGAGAGGTCCCTCCTACACCAAGATCTCTGCACAAGAAGGGTGGGGTGACTTAAGTGAGCTGGTTTTCTGAATGCTTAGAGATTTGCCGGGGCATGGAGCCAAGAGGGCATTGCTGTACCACAATCTATATCCAAGAAGAGTGGGGCAGTTCGGGCTGCTGAACCAAATAAGCGGTGCTCCAAATGTCTGGACATCTGCCTGGAGCCCCCCTGCACCAGGATCTCTGCACAGGAAGGATGGGGCAGCTCAGGCTACTGATCCAGCCAAGCTGTTGCTCCAAGTACCTGGAGATCTGCCTGGGTATGGAATGGAGAGGGCCCCTCTGCACCAAGATCTCTGCACAAGAAGTTTGGGGTGACTCAGGCTGCTGATGCATGCAAGCAAGTGCTCTAAATGTCTGGAGATCTGCCTTGGCATGAAACAAAGAGGGTCCTGCTGCATCACGTTTTATGTCTAGGAAGGGTGGGGTGGTTCAGGCTGTTGACAGGTGAATGGGTGCTCCAGATGCCTGGATTTCTGCCTGGGGGTGGAACAGAGAGGGACCCACTTCACCACAATCTATGTCCATCAAGGGTGGGGCAGCTCAGGTTCCCAGTCCAGGCAAGTGGGTGCTCCAAATGCCTGAATTACTACTTGGGGATGGAGCAGAGAAGGCCCCACTGCACCATAGCCTCAGAGAAGTAGGGTGGGACACCCAAGAATAGTATATGCAGACTGATTCCAGGTCACCAAGCTGCCCCTGTCTGCAAGTCTCACTGCTCAGGGGTTATAGATGTTTAACTTGTTGAATTGTTTAAGTTCATCATAGATTCTGGATATCAGACCTTCTTTCATTGGATTCATAGCTTGCAAATATTTTCTCTTATTCTGTAGGTTGTCTGTTTACTCTGTTGATAGTTTTGTTTGCTGTGCAGGAGCTCTTTGGTTTAATTAGGTCCCAGTTGTCAATTTTTGTTTCTGTTGCAATTGCTCTTGAGGACCTTACATTCTCTGTGAAAGTCAATGTCTGAAAAGTCCATATTTTCTAGGTTTCTTTCTAGGGTTCTTATATTAATAGTTTGAGGTCTTACCTTTAAATATTTAATTCATCTTGAGTTAATTTTTGTGTGTGGTAATGGTAGAGTCCAGTTTCATTCTTCTACATATGGCTAGCCAGTTATCCTAGCACCGTGTATTAAATAGAGTATCCTTTCTCTACTGCTTATTTTTGCCAACTTTGTCAAAAATCAGATGGTTGTAGTTGTGTGGCTTTAGGAAATGTATCATTGAATGGATTTACTTCCCTGTTTGCTATTGGCTTGAAAGAGTCCCAGGATATTCATTTCTGGATAGTTTTACACCATAAAGAAACAAAATAGAGTATCTTAATTTCAAGTTGACCCAAGAGAGAAAGAAAATATGAACTCCAAGGAATTGCCATTTAGGCATTTATGACCAGATCAATGTAAATTTTACATGACCACCTGTTTTTCTCTTTACGTCAGCATCTTGAAAGTGGCAAAGTTTTGCTGCTCAATGAACACCTTGGAAATATGTGCCTTAAATTAACCAGAAAACTCATATGAATGAGAGAGTTGGGACAGCATCTCCTCCGAACCTCTTTGTCAACGTTTTTTTTATTTTTGTAGCGGTAAATACTCTGTTTTCTGTGATTTCCCACAAACTGGCTACCCTCTTCCTTTCCTAAATTTTATATTTGACACCTCCATTGACAAAGGACTGCCTCTTTTCTTCTGTCAGATAAGCTACAAACTTGCCATTTTATTTTTTATTTATTTGAGACAGGGTCTCACTCTGTTGCCCAGGTTGAAGTGCAGTGGCACGATAGCCTGCCACAGCCTCAAACTCCCGGACTCAATAAATCCTCCCACCTCAGCCTCCCTAGTAGCTAGGACTACAGGTGTGCATCACCAAGCCCAGCTATTTTTTTTTTTTGTATTTTTTGTAGAGTCAGGGTTTCACCATGATGCCAAGGCTGGTCTTGAACTCTTGGACTCAAGCAATCCATCTACCTCAGTCTCCTAAAGTGATAGGATTACAGGCATGAGCCACCACACCTGACTGAACTTGCCCTTTTAAATCCCAATTCCTAAGGCTTTCTTGCTCCAGTTCACAAGACCTAATTACCTCCACCTATTTACTAAGTGTTTTCCCTCAAATCAGTCCAGAAAAAATGGAATTCATGAGAACGTTCTTGGACTTTATGCCATTTTGGTATGAATCCCAGTAAGATGGTACTTTGAAAATATGGGATATCTACTTATTATCAACTACTATTATATTTTCTTTATACACTCAGTGACCCACTGCAGGCATGTTTTTAAATGTCCTCATGATTATTTTTAATTCCAAAAAGAATTCAACTTGTCTGGTGTGCTTAGAAAAGTGCCTTGCTTTCCTCCAAAAACTTTACCAGTGAGGTTCATTGATGTTAGCATTATGCACCTAGAAAAGATATAGCTAGAAGGAAGTAGCTTTTAAATAAAAAAGAATTCTTTTCTCTTTTTTTTTAATTTTATTGAGACGGAGTCTTGCTCTGTCACCCAGGCTGGAGTGCAGTGGTGTGATCTTGGCTCACTGCAGCCTCAGCCTCCCGGGTTCAAGCGATTCTCCTACCTCAGGCTCCTGAGTAGCCGGGAGTACAGATGTGTGCTACCATGCCTGGCTAATTCTTTGTATTTTTAGTAGAGATGGGGTTTCACGGTCTTAGCCAAGATGGTATCAATCTCCTGACCTTGTGATCCGCCCCCTCGGCCTTCCAAAGTGCTGGGATTGCAGGTGTGAACCACTGTGCCCAGCCCCTTTTTTTCTTTTTAAAAATTATGATAGGCATTTTCAGGAGCATGACTTTAAATATTAACTTAGCCCTTCTTTCTGAATTAGTTAATACTGCAAGGAAAAAGAATTGGCCTCTCATGGGGGGAAAAAGTTTGAATTCAGTGAGAATAGAGCAGGGATTTTTTGAAACAGTAACTCTAGTTCTAGTAGAATTTTATTACAAGAATTTGAACACTTGAGAGATTAAGACTAGATACCCCTATCCACAAAGAGGAGCTGCCAATTTTCTGGCCAAGTTGAGCAATTAGTTATGTTTTGAATTTAACCAATTTAAAAAAATAATAATTCTAGCTTCAAACTCCTACCTTCTCCTCAATAGTGGATTACTTTCGTTAGAGACATCTGGTTAATTAATTCAGTTTTGCACTTCATTTTGCCTGTGTGGACAGAGGTTGAATGCCATGTCTGATTCAATCCCAGAGGCAAGGAAGCATTGGGAGGACATCATCTACATCAGTCTCTTAGAACGAAATTATAGTCCAGAGAATGAATACAGAATGTTCGAACTTGCAAATTCAAACAATTTTTGATTATTTAGGAAAATAAAGGTAAAGCCTGGCATGGATTACCTTAAGCCATAGACATTTGACAGAGAATCACATTAGGCACCAAATCAACTGTTATGAAAATTTCCATTTAAAAGGAGAATTGTGTTGAATATATTTGTGCATCAGCTCTGACATTTCTGTATATGATTTTAACATCTTGAAGCCCAGATGAAAGTATTATCATTGCTGAGAAATAGAAATATAATCAGCAAACATAAGATCTTTTTATTATTCTTAGTAGTAGAAAAATAGATCCAAACATTTCAAAGTGTTGGCAAGACTGTAAATCAACATGTGAAAGCAATAACTACAAATTCCTCTCTTCTTGCCTTTGCTCAGCCGAGATGTAAATTCAAATCATAAAATAGTAAAATAGTTAAAGAAATATTAACAAAGTTGAAAGGCAAAGGACTGAGTCAAGGAATAAACTAGATAATATATTTCTGAAAAAAAAATAGAAATTCTTCAAGAAGTTTTTAGGAAAAACCATAATATACAAGAAGAAAAACATACCAAAGTCTTTAAATAGCCATTTTTTTTACAACAACCTATCCTATAATTTTCCCTTAAATTCATTAAAGGACAGAAAGCCCTTGAAAACCTTTAGTAATTCTATAAATGTAGGATTAAGTCATAAAGCAGTGGAATTCCTTTTCAAGGCTAGCCACTTATACCAACAAAAACCACAAAAGAGAGTGTAGTTTTTGTTTCTTCTTCAACGACCTTGCTGTATTTGGGTTACAATGTATAGACAGCCATAAAGATATTTTGGGATGTGGATATTAGAATGGAGAGTTGGCTTACCTGAGGCTAAATCACTCTTTGAAACAACAGCCCAAGTAATATTCAAATTTCCAACTTAGAAAATGAAAATTATAAATTGCCATAGATCTTTAGTGTGGAAACTGCTACAGAACTAGCTAGTAAAGAAAAAGGCACATACCACTCAACAATAAAGTTAATCTCACCTCAAACCAGCCAAGTTACATTAAATAAATGCCTTCTAGACTGCACATTTAGCTGGAGACTATGAACATCAAGTTATTTTCCAGCATAAAACTTGAACAGTGTATCCTAACACCCCACCACATCTCCGCATTACTATAAAAAATATCAAAGAGATTATACACAGTCTGTTGGTTGGCAAGACCTGGCAAATTCTCTCCACTTTTAAGTATATGCAAACAAACAAAATACATGGATAATACATTTTACAAAAACCTGTAACATAAAGGAAAAATTGGTCTAATGAGGTGGAGGGACTCAAACCTAAAAAAGTGATTTTAAAATAAAACACATAAGAAAAACTAATAATACATTTATTTCAGAATGCATCTACTTTGTGTTCTTAAGAAGATAATACAATCAAGATAAAGTGAAAGAGAGCTTTATTAAAAGAAAAATGTCATGAGAACCAGCCACATTAGGAAAGAACATGGTGCCATTTCCGTTTTTCTTTTCATCTATCACTCACTTTAAAAAAATAAATAAAAAGATGAAAACAATAATCTCCATTATTATGAAACCAGGAGACAGTCACAACCCTAGGCTTCAAGTTATAAAAAAAATAGCTGCCAAGCACATTGAATTTAGGATGAAATTGGAGAAGAACCGTGAGAAAACACACAAAAGTCTACAGTTCTCTTACAAGATGCAGTTTCTTAAAGGTTCTAGATGCTAAGCGCAGAACACCTGACCAGCCGTCCTTTAGTTAGAACAGTTAGTCTGATGTTGTGGACAATATGTAAGTTGGTCATAATGATGATTTTTCACACTATAGAGCATGAAGTGGGGTCAAGGGGAAAAGGCCTTCAGATGAGCCATGTTTGGAGGAAGCCGGTGGAGAGAATGTCAGGGTGAAGGAGCAATCGACTTGGAGGCAGCTGATGAAAACTAAAGAAATATATGCTAATTTTTGATATGAAGCACACTTATAAATCACATAGGTTCATTATGAATCACATTTACCTTCTTCTTACTCCAAAGAGGAGTAGAAACATGTCATATAGCACAGGGGTGATGCACAAGTTATTTAAACAGTAGAGTTTATGTATCAACCAATCAGAACAAACACTGGCCAATAAGAAGGAAAGGAAATACAGGAGATAAACATATTGGAAAGTGAGGGCAAAAGTATTCTTATATGCCAATGGTATGAATCCATACTTAGAAACCCCAAGAGAATCAACTGAAAAAACAAGTAGAGCATTACAGTAATTCAGCAAGGTGGTATATACAAAAATCAAAAGCTTACCCATATGCAAATAAGTTCGAAGAGATAAGAAAATTTGATATTTTAAGAAGTAACAAAACCAAAGTAGGTATATCAAGAAATATGTAGATTTACTTAAAGAATAATTTAAAATATTAAGGAACCTAATAAGAGAATATGTTAATAGAGACCATAGTTTATTATTTCCTCAAACTTGAGATTCCAGTCATTCTAAAACATATCATTATTTTCAAATTCACTATTAAAAAACTGCTGCCAATTAAAATATTACATAATCCTTTCTAATCATTGATTGCGATGTGTATCCCAATTTAAGAGATAATAAAATGAAAAATGTTCATCTTATAATTGAAATACTGTATATAAGAAATAGCTAATACCTAGAAATATCCTGGCAACATTATTGAATTTCAAGAGTAAACACAAAATTCTTTCAGGAACTAGGCAATAAAAAAAATTACAAAGAAATTAGATCAGCCTTAGCTTTTCTTAGAATGTTGAGTGCCAGAAGACACTAGACTCATCTTTGGATTTCTGAATAGAAAAGGATGAGATCCAAGAATTCTGTGGTCTGCCAAGACTTTTTTATGTACAAAGGCAATTAAAAAATATTCTCAGATAGAAGGCTCAGAAAATATATTACTATGTTCTAGAAAAATTTACTCAATAATCATGCATCTGATAGTCATGCAGTGAATTAAAGGAGAAACACAAATTATAGTATAAAGCACTGAAGTGATTATTAATTTTATAAAA
Organism: Homo sapiens; assembly: GCF_000001405.40. Taxonomy (NCBI): domain Eukaryota; kingdom Metazoa; phylum Chordata; class Mammalia; order Primates; family Hominidae; genus Homo; species Homo sapiens. Next base: position 36,285,335 of record NC_000015.10, read on the forward strand.
TCAGAATTAGATTTATAAATACATTAGGCTAAATTAAACATAAATTATAGTGAAATATTTCATATATAATATTAGAAATATTAATTTAAAAATAAGACCATAATAATCTTAACCTCTTCCGAGTATATATATCAGCCCCATAGAGAAGAGTTGGAGAGGCAGAAAGAACAAGTCACATTCACTATTTTATGTTAGTAAAATTGTCTAATTCACTTTTTTCACATTCTTTAAAATTAGTTTTTATGCCTAAGATTATAAAGTAGAAAATCTGACCCACAATGTCATCTCATAATATATATCTGTTAATATTTAAAATATTTTAAAATAAATGAATAAAATATTACCTGCTTAAGGTTTAAATTTTTCGATAGTACAGACAGGTATAAAATGCAAAGTAAAGCTAATTTAATGTTCTAGGCCTTCTTTCCATTGGTAACAATTGCTAAACAGTTTCTCATATACAGAAATGTCAGAGCTGATGCACCTGCTAAACAGGTGCTCAGTGGGGGTGTTTTTGAGCCAGGATGAGCCAGGAAAAGGACTTTCACAAGGTAATGTCATCACTTAAGGCAAGGACCGGCCATTTACACTTCTTTTGTGGTGGAATGTCATCAGTTAAGGTGGGGCAGGGCCTTTTCACTTCTTTTGTGATTCTTCAGTTACTTCAGGCCATCTGAGCCTTATATGTGCAAGTCACAGGGGATGCAATGGCTTGGCTTGGGCTCAGAGGCCTGACATTCCTGCCTTCTCATATTAATAAGAAAAATAAAACAAAATAGTGTTGAAGTGTTGGGGCGGCGAAAATTTTTGGGGGGTGGTATGGAGAGAGAATGGGCGATGTTTCTCAGGGCTGCTTCAAGCAGGATTAGGGGTGGCGTGGGAACCTAGAGTGGGAGAGATTAAGCTGAAGGGAGATCTTGTGGTAAGGGGTGATATTGTGGGGTTGTTAGAAGAAACATTTGTCGCATAGAATGATTGGTGATGGCCTGGATACGGTTTTGTATGAATTGAAAAACTAAATGGAATAACAGAAGGAGAAAAACAGGTATAAAAGGTCTAAGAATTGGGATGACTCAGGATATCTGATTAGAGAGTGCCTAAGGAGATTCAGCATAGTCCTGCCAGCAAAGATTATTTATTTACTTCAAGAGTTAAGAGTGGCAGTTTGGGGATAGCATGAGGAGATATCAGCTGTGATGGCTTGGAAAAACAGTGTAAACCGGCAGTGTAAACAAGAGCAGGGCATGTATGAGTAGTTGAGAACGGTGAATAGGAGTATGACTAGACAGAAGATAGTAGGGATGACAAGTTTTTTTGGGGCACAGTCTAAGTTGGTCTGGTGTCTGGAATGAGACTGGGGCCTAATAAAAAGGAGCGTCTATACAGGAGCTCAAATGGGCTGTACTCTGTAGCATTCCGAGGACAGGCCTGAATTCTGAGAAGGGAAAGTGGTAAAAGTATTGTCCAGTCCTTTTTAAGTTGGTGGCTGAGCTTGGTGAGATGTGTTTTTAAAAGACCTTTAGTCCATTCTACTTTTCTTGAAGACGGAGGACTGTAAGGGATATAAAGGTTTCACTGAATACTAAGAGCCTGAAAAACTGCTTGGCTGATTTGACTAATAAAGGCTCGTCTGTTATCAGACTGTATTGAGGTGGGAAGGCTAAACTGAAGAATTATGTCTGACAGAACGGAAGAAATGACTGCAGTGGCCTTCTCAGACCCTGTAGGAAAGGCCTTTACTTATTCAGTGAAAGTGTCTATTTAGACTAAGAGGTATTTTAGTTATCTGACTTGGGGCATGTTGAGTAAAGCTAATTTGCCAGTCCTGGGTGGGGGCAAATCCTCGAGCTTGATGTGTAGGGAAGGGAGGGGGCCTGAATAATCCCTGAGGAGCAGTAGAATAGCAGATGGAACACTGAGAATTTATTTCCTTGAGGATAGATTTCCACAATGGAAAGGAAATGAGAGGTTCTAAGAGGCGGGCTAGTGGCTTGTGCTATAGCATAGCCTGCCTTTGCTGGTGTGTGGCGATTAGGCCTGGTGGAACTGCCATCAATAAATCAAGTGTGATCAGGGTGAGGAACAGGAAAGAAGGAAATATGGGGAAATGGGGTGAATGTCAGGTGGACCAGAGAGATACAGTCATGGGGGTCAGGTGTGGTATCAGGAATAATGTAGGAGGCCGGATTGAAGTCCGTGCCAGGAACAATGGTAATTGTGGGAGACTTAACAAAGAGTGAGTACAGCTGAAGGAACCGGGGAGCAGAAAGTATATGCGTCAGGTATAAGGAAGAAAATAGATTTCAGAAGTTATGAGAAATGTAGAGAGTGAGTTGAGCATAGTTTGTGATTTTTAGGGACTCTAAAATATTAGGGCGGCAGCAGCCGCTGCACGGAGACATGAGGGCTAGGCTAAAACAGTAAGGTCAAGTTGTTTGCACAGAAAGGCTATAGGGTGCGGTCCTGGCTCTTGTGTAAGAATTCTGACTGCACTAACCATGCCTAGGAAGGAAAGGAGTTGTTGTTTTGTAAGGGATTGAGGTTTGGGAGATTAATCGGACACGATCAGCAGGGAAAGCACGTATGTTTTTATGAGAATTATGCCGAGATAGGTAACAGATGAGGAAGAAATTTGGGCTTGATTGAAGTAATGGGGGCTGTCTGTGAAGCTTTGCGGCAGTACAGCCTAGGTAATTTGCTGAGCTTGATGGGTGTCAGGGTCAGTCCAAGTGAAAGCGAAGAGAGGCTGGGATTAAGGGTGCAAAGGAATAGTAAAGAAAGCACGTTTGAGATCCAGAACAGAATAATGGATTGTGGAGGGAGGTATTGAGGATAGGAGAGTATATGGGTTTGGCACCATGGGGTGGATAGGCAAAACAATTTGGTTGATGAGGTGCAGATCCTGAACTAACTTGTAAGGCTTGTCTGGTTTTAGGACAGGTAAAATGGAGGAACTGTAGGGAGAGTTTATAGGCTTTAAAAGGACATGCTGTAGCAGGCGAGTGATAACAGGCTTTAATCTTTTTAAAGCGTGCTGCGGGATGGGATATTGGCATTGAGTGGGGTAAGGGTGATTAGGTTTTAATGAGATGGTAAGGGGTGCATGATCGGTCGCCAAGGAGGGAGTAGAGGTATCTTATACTTGTGGGTTAAGGTAGGGGGATACAAGAGGAGGATGCAAAGGAGGCTTTGGATTGGGAAGAAGGGCAGCAATGAGATATAGCTGTAGTCCAGGAATAGTCAGGAAAGCAGATAGTTTAGTTAAAGTGTCTCAGCCTAATAAGGGAACTGGGCAGGTGGGGATAACTAAAAAGGAGTGCTTAAAAGAGTATTGTCTAAGTTGGCACCAGAGTTGGGGAGTTTTAAGAGGTTTAGAAACCTGGCCGTCAATACCCACAACAGTTATGGAGGCAAGGGAAACAGGCCTTTGGAAAGAAGGTAATGTGGAGTGGGTAGCCTCCGTATTGATTAAGAAGGGGACGGGCTTACCTTCCACTGTGAGAGTTACCCGAAGCTCGGCGTCCGTGATGGTCTAGGGGGCTTCCGAGGCGATCGGGCAGTGTCAGTCTTCAGCCTCTAAGCCGAGAAGATCTGGGAAGGAGTCAATCAGAGAGCCTTGGGCCAGAGTTCCAGGGGCTCTGGGAGTGGCTGCCAGGTGAGTTGAACAGTTCAATTTTCAGTGGGGTCCCGCACAGATGGGACGCGGCTTAGGAGGAATCCTGGGCTGCGGGCATTCCTTGGCCTGGTGGTCAGATTTCCGGCACGTGTAGCAAGCTCCTGGGGGAGGAGTTTCTGGAGGAACACCTGGCTGCTGCGGTTCAGGTGTTTGGAAGTTCTTGTGTGCTGGAGATGTGGCTGGGGTTTGTCTCACAGTGGAGGCAAGGAATTGCAACTTTTTTCTGTTATTGTACACCTTGAAGGTGAGGTTAATTAAGTCCTGTTGTGGGGTTTGAGGGCCAGATTCCAATTTTTGGAGTTTTATTTAATGTCAGGAGCAGATTGGGTAATAGAATGTATATTGAGAATAAGACGGCCTTTTGACCTTTTAGGGTCTAGGGCTGTAAAGTGTCTCAGGGCTGCTGCCAAACGAGCCATGAACTGGGCTGGGTTTTTATATTTGATGAAAAAGAGCCTAAACGCTTCTGACTTGGGATAAAGAAAAAGGAGCATTAACCTTGACTATGCCTTTGGCTCCAGCCACCTTTTTAAGAGTAAATTGCTGGGCAGGTGAGGGAGGGCTAGTCACGGAACGAAATTGTAAGCTGGAGCAGGTGTGAGGAGGGGAGGTGATAAAAAGATTATAGGGTGGAGGAGCAGAGGCTGAGGAAGAATTGGGACCTAGCTTGGCCTGGCTAGGAGCAGCCTGGGGAGGAAGGGAGAGGTCAGATGGGTCTGTAGAAAAGGAAGATTAGAAAGACTCAGCGACGCTTGGGGTTGGTACTGAGGGGACAGGCGGTAGGGAAAGAAGGAAGATTTGGGACAAGTTGCACTGGGCACAGAGACTAGGAAGGGACTGATGTGTAAAAGAATGCCTGGACGTCAGGCACCTCAGACCATTTGCCTATTTTACGACAAGAATTATTTAGATTTTGCAGGATGGAAAAATTCAAAGTGCCATTTTTCTGGCTATTTGGAACTACTGTCAAGTTTCTATTGGGGTCAAGCGGCATTGCAGAAGAAAATAAGGCATTTAGGTTTTAGGTCAGGTGTGAGTTGAAGAGGTTTTAAGTTTTTGAGAACACAGGCCAAGGGAGTAGAAGGAAGAATGGAGGGTGGAAGGTTGCCCATAGTGAAGAAAGCAAGCCTAGAGAAAAGAGAGAGTAGAGAAATGGAGGGAAGGGGTTTGGGGGTTCTTACCTTCCAGAAAAGTGGGAAAAGGGGTTGGGGCACAGAGATAAGAGGTTGTGGTGCGGAAATAAGGGATTGGGGCACAGAGATATAAGAGGTCGGGGCGTGGAAATAAGGGATTGGAGCACAGAGATATGAGGTTGGGCGTGGCAATAAGGGATTGGGGTGCAGAGATATAAGAGGTTGGGGCACAGAAATAAGGGACTGGGGCACAGAGATAAGAGGTCGGGGTGTGGAAATAAGGGATTGGGGCACAGAGATAAGAGGTCGGGGTGCGGAAATAAGGGATTGGGGCACAGAGATAAGAGGTTGGGGCATGGAAATAAGGGATTGGGGGTTCTTGCCCCGTAGAAAAGCGGCACTTGCTGCTAAGGGTGAAGTAGAAGGGGTTGAGGGGTACTTGCTCCTCTCCCAGAAAAGCAGAGAAGGGGTAGAGACAAGGAGAGAAGGGGTTGGGGTACTTGCCCTTTCCCCGGAAAAGCAGAGAAGGGGTAGAGACAAGGAGAGAAGGGATTGGGGTACTTGCCCTTGCCCCAGAAAAGCAGAGAAAGGGTAGAGACAAGGAGAGAAGGGGTTGGGGTACTTGCCCCTTCCCCAGAAAAGCGGGACTTGCCGCTAAGGGTGAAGGACGAAGGCAGGCGTCCCTGCGTGGTCTGACACCCTTGAAACGTGGGTGAATAATCAGAGAGGGATTATTCACAGCTGGAGGATCTTAATACAGCTTCCCTTACATTTTCCTTTTCTGTCGGGAGGGGAGGTGGGGGGTCTTTGTCTCATTTATTTTAGCTCCTGGCCGCAGTTCCACTGTGTCTCTTTTGGTGGAGGAGGAAGATAAACTCCTATGAAATTATAAGTATTTTACCTTAATGCTTCATTTCTTCCTGATCAAGAAGAATCAATGGGAAATCCTAAATATTGCCTTCCTTTGCTAAGATTTTTGCTGATATGTAATAGTTTCTATGTGTGACTATCCACTCACTTCTCAGAACCCTTTCTCAAAGTCAGGACATTATCAGTGAGATTTCTCTGGATTTTAAACATTTATCTTGTTTTCCTAGTACTAAAGAGGAAAATGGACAGTGGTTTAGAAATAAACTGAACCCCACCAAATCTTTTTTTTCCTTAGTCCCCATGTTTTGAAGATTATGACAAGATATAGTGTCCCTTTCCTTATTTGATTGCTACCAGTTCTTTTTTTTTTTTTCTCCTCTTTCTTACAAATTGTTTTGGTTATTTTATTTGGAACCACAGAGGCAAATTTAGACTTGATGCCACTCAATCTATTCAGATTGTATTCAGAGTCATTTTATTACTTTTTTATTGATTGATAGCTCGTTTAGGAGAGTGTTAAAGATATGGCTTCTGGGACCAGGACATTCATGTTTAGATGTAAGCAGGGCAACTTGCTAGCTGTGTGACCTGTAAAAGTGACTTATCCTTTCTGTGCCATCTGAATAATAGAATAATAACAGGGATTAACTTACAGGGTTGTGAGGATACATTAAGTAATATTTACAAAGCAATTGAAAAATTTCCTGGCACTTGGTCAGCTATGTGTTTGTTAAATAAATAAAATTAAAGAGCTTGCTTCAAGTTATTTTTTATTGTGACGCTTAAAGCTAACTACCAATAGAATTATCTGAATATATAGCTCCCCATCACTGGAACATTTACAAATTGACGTGGATAGACACAAAGAAAACTTTAATAAATTAGAACCGTCAGAATATATATATATATATATATATATATATAGGTCATAACCACTTATTTAAACAGAAAATATTTAACATTTAGATATTTAAAAGCACATCCCAATATAACAAATCAAAGAGGATAAAATAATTTACAGATGATTATTAAATAATCAAAATGGTCATATACTAAAACTTGTAATGTGGACAAACGCAATATAAATTTTAGCCTTGAAGACTCTCATTTATGCTGCTGGTGGCCTACCCAAAAACCCCTTCTTTCTTTCTAAGAGAACCCCAAATTTGTCCATCAATGTAGCCCTTCATGACTGAGATGAAGGTCACCCCGTTGCCAGCTGTGGGCATAGATCCTGACAGACTAATTGAATTAGTTATAACATTCCTTGCAAAATGCTGTTGAAATAGGGATGCTTCCATGACTTGTGCTGGTCTGATCAGATGAAAGAAAAGGATCTGGAAGAGAAGCTTTCTGTCTTCCTCTGAAAATGAACAAGAAAGTATGTAACCTGGCTACCACATGGCCACCTTGTGACCATGATGTTAACCTGTCTGAAATGGGACCTGATGTTAAGGAAGACAGAGAAGAGAGATGAAAAGTAACAGAGTCCTTAATAAAATCTTCAAGTACTGATCCATAGCACCTACCCTACCTCTAGACTTACAGGGATACGAGATTAATATATATTTTTATTGTTAGACTCCTTGGAGTCAACATTTATACCACCTGTAGTCAAAAAGAACGTAACTGGTAGAATTTCAAAAAAATGAATAAATTTAAAATACAACTAAAAATTAAATAACAATGAGAATAAAACAAACCACAAGTAAAGATAATAAAACTGAAAGCAGAAGTGCATGAATTAGAAAGCAAACACTGAACCACAAAATGAACTAAGAAATTGTAGAGGTAGTTTCTTTCAAGCCTAATTATTAAATTAAGAAATTCAAAAAGGGTTCATCACCAAAAGATACAACAGAATTTAAGATGTATTGATTATGAGGAAATATATTGCAGAAATTTATTATAATCTGAAAATACTCAGGACACAGAAACATTTTGGAAAACAAAATATCCAAATTGAAAAGGAAGAATTTAAAACATTGAAGAGTAATAAAATGTTGAAGATGGTATAAAATTAACTAAATGATTATTTTTAATAAACCCCCCAGGGCAAATTTGTATCAGTTCTGCGACATTCCTTTCCCACAGAACAATGTGAAGGTATTCAGGTGACACCTGGACAAGCGGGTTGAATTACAGGAGAGGAACCTGAGTTTAAGGAGCCCTAACCTTTTCTCATGGGCGCTAAGATCCTCTTTCCTATGCTTCCAATGGGGACACGATGTCTATTTTCCAGGGCTGTTTGCTGGACAAACATCCTTGAAAAGATAGTCCTAAAACAAAAAGCTGTTAGCGTCTCTGTTCACAAGATGTGCAGAAACAAAAAGATCCATGCAGAATTGTCTCCCAACATTCATAACTCCTCTACACCAGGAACAATTAAATACATAGGTCAATAAAACTTGGAATATAATATTTTCAATAACTGTGGTGCACAAAGTGCTGATAGATATCCTTGTTATGTAAAGAATTCTTAGAAATCAATATCAGAAGCACAAACAATTGAAAGAAAAAAGTGGCAAAGGGTATGACGAAGGGAGAACAATTCTCAGAAGAAATAGTAAAAGTGTGAAACAACGAATGTTTAAGTACAAAACTGTGCTAGTTTATTCAGAACTCAATAGAAACAAAAAATAAAATAGCATTTATCAGCAAGTAACTTGTCTAACTTAAATTGGACAATAGTTCTAAACGTTTCTGAAAATGTGGGAAATAGACATTCTCATATACTGTTGGGGATGTAAACTTGAACAACTTCTCAAAGAAATATTTAGCTCTGTATCAAGAACTTTAAAAATATTCACACGCTGTGACCTAGTAAATTCCATGTGTAGTAATAAATTCTAAGGAAATAATTACAGATAAAATACTTTTACATTAAAGGAGACTCGAAGAATTCTTATTAACAAAACTAAAATCAAAAGAGCCTTACTTTCCAATAATAAGAGAATGGTTAATTTTTTTCTTAAATCCAATTTAAATTTCTTACATTTAAATTCTTTAAATTCTTAAATTTAAAAATTTCTTAAATTTTCTTAAATGAGAAGGAATGTCATGTAGCTAATTAAAAATACGCTGTCAAAGACTTTTATAACATGAAAAAATATGTAATGCTATCTCTATTACATGATCTCCATTATTAAACCATGTTAAAGCCTGGAAGGAATTTAAACTAAATATCAAGCACAGTTACTCCTTAGTTTTATGCTTACTAATTTTTTTATTGTATTCCTTTTTACTTTACTATATTTCTCAAATTTTCTACACTTTATAACAAAAATATTCAAAACATAAACGAATACCAGCTATTTTTTAGTTCCTTCTGGTTTAAAAAGTTATCATTACTTAACTGATGGACTCTGCATAATTCTGAGGAAATAAGTGAAATAAGATAATCAGTTGATCTGTGGATAGACTGTGTTATTTTTAGTGCCCAAAGGGCTTTCCCATGCTCAGTTTACACTTGTGTTATGGGGAAAGGGGAGGGAAAGAAAACGCAGCATGAAAGCAGTGTGAGGCATGTTCAAATCCATTGCTCACAGCAGGGAAAAACAATTGCTTCCTCCCCTGCTTCCAGTGACCTTGTGGTGAGGATCACAGTGCTGGAAAAAGAATCCAAAATTGGCTTCAGTGTGGCTTCCTTCTGTTATTATTATGTTAGCAAATGCCTACTCCAAGGGACCCTCTGAGAAACCTAAAGGCCTTGTACTAGCCTGGTCCTCTTGGTCTAGAAAGTTTTCAAATAGACACCTGCTTGTTTTATGAGATGGACGGGCTCAGGAGAACAGTCAAGGACCTCCATGACAACCTAACCCCCAAGAATGATTGAATCATTAATTTCTAAGGATATTACCACACTCTAAAATAATTCTCTGTGATTTTAAACCCCTGTGGATCGGGAGAACTCTTCAGTGAATACATATCCCTTCTTTGCAAAGAAAAAAATTTGCATATTATTCTTGCCCAATCACTTGTTTATTACTTCTATCAACTTCAATCATGAAAGCTTTCAGCATAGGTGCTGAGGACAAAGATGAAAATACGTGACTTTAAATGTTTGTTTATAAAAATGTTTGAAGGGATTAATTTTTATCTGCCTATTCAAATAGGATTAAAGGGACTAACTTGAATAATAAAGGCGCATTATAAATACCTATGTTGTTTCTAATTAATAGGTTCAGATATGAATATAAGATATGTCAAATTATTACAGAATCACCTGTAATTATGTTATTTTTAAATAATGGAAAGGAAACTCATGAGTCATTATTAGCAAAGAGATGACTTTGGAATAAGGCAAGCTCATTCAGCTAATATAATGCTTTGCAAGACACATTTCCTATTTATATGTACAGTTAATAACATTTATTATGTAGTCTTAGTCCTAGAAGCCTGTGTTTGTTGCGAGAAATACTTTAAAGCAGAAGCTTAATTACATAGTGCTCAAGTTTCTCTGGCAACATCAAAGTGAGAAAGTCATTTGTGCTTTAATGCACATTTTGAAAGAGAAAAATAAGTTTTCAAGTTGAGAACCCCACAAGTTTGAGACAAGGAGAATGGAGGAGGAATAAAATGTTAGATTAGAATTTATTTTTCCAGTATATGACAACAAAAACAGTAAGAGGGAAAAACTGTTTTTCTTCTTCATCATCTTATTATTATTATTAATCATAATAAAAGACTATAACCTTTTGATATTTGCTCCAAGGTTTTGTTCTCTGAGAATTACTCAGGCGCATTAGAATTGGAAATATTCCTTTTCATTTGAATATACCAAAAGGGTTCCTTCAGTTCTCTTTATCCAGATTTCTCTCTAAACACTACAATAGCCACATTTTAAAGAAAATTACTAAAGAAACTTAGTGTCCTATTGCAAGGAGCCTGCAGGTGACAATAGTTTTTGCAAAATGGTTTTAACCTAACTCAGAATTGTGACCCAAAAATTCACAAATTCATATTATAAAATGTTTATCAATTTGTACATGCAGACAATAGGAAGTATAATCCTAGGGCTGTCCAATTTAATTTGGAGTTCATAGAACTGAATGGATACGTTTTTGCATTTTATAAGGCAGAGAAATTTTAGATACCATTAACTGTCCCTCATTTAATAAAATAATTGGAAAGATGCTGACAGCTCTTAAGTGACAGCTAATCTCCTGCCTCTGGTTCCATGGGTGTTCCACTTACCAGTATTTTATCAAACAAAGAAACTCAACTAAATTTTGAAAGGAGTAGTATTTATCTTCAGTACTATTTGATAGAACTTACGAGAACTGTGTTCAAGGCCAGCATTAGACAAATCCAAGAACAAAATCAAAATTGGACTTTGGCGTCTGTTTCCTCCTCTTTTGTGTCTCTCTTCCCCCTTGTATTGTCCCTTGTCTCAATGAGAACCCCCTATCTCGAGCCACAGGATTCTCTTGCCTCACCCACACCCATCATGTACACTATCATTGCAAAGTAAATTAATTTGCACAATACTGATTATATTCAATTCATTTTATCTTATTAAAGAGTATTCTCTTTTTAAACTTGGTATCTTGAAAGCACAATATTGTGCCTCAAAGGAATGAATTCTTCCTTTTGTCCTTCCATCTTTTCTCTCTTTCCTTTCTGTTTTCAACCAGGGAAGAAACCAAATAAATTGAAATAGTCAATTAACTTCTGTTGCATATCAGAAATTTCTATTATAAAAACATCATGAGTGCAAAAAAGCCAGATAACTATTTGCTTCTTAAGTTTAATGTAGAATAATCGTCAACTACCAACAGCATCATCTGTTACTTTAATGCAATTACACTTGTGAGAATTTTCTACAAACCACCTATCAATACCCACCTGAAATCTCCAGGATGCTGAAATCACCAGTAACTTTTTGACTATGTCTAAAGTATCGTAATGCCATAAATAAAATGAGAACAACATTTCAACATTTTGCCTAATTCTTGCACCCTTTAGTGTGTGGTGATTTATCTATTTCCTCTAAAGTGATGACACCTCTGCCCTCCCAGGACATGGCTTTTAAAGTCATTGATTAAAATAAAATACTAGATGAAATGAAACATGAATGTCACAGTCATCCTTGTCTGGATTCCTAGTACTGTTTTCATACATGATGCTACACTTGAAGACCCCAAATATACCTCAGTTGTTGGAGCAGAAATCAAAAACTAGATCATCATTTAACTCTATGGCATTTGATTTTGAATTTCACATCTTGGGCTCTCATGGTTGCCTTATTTAAAGCCCTTCTTTTTGCCATCACTTCTTTTGAACTCTGAGAAATACATCCATCATGGTATGAAATTGGATCTGTAGCTAAAGGAAGTGGGATAATAATCAGAGGTATATATATAAACCAAAAGCCTCTGTATTTCCCCAAATCATCCTCTGTTGTAGGAATACTAAAGTAATGCTAATGCAAGAAAAGATATTCCAGTGTCATTTTAGATTTCAGACACTGCACATTTTTACCCATGATTATGTCAAAATATACACATAGGCATCATTTGAGAGAGAATTTATTATAAAAGAAAATATTTTTAAAAAACCAAAGCTAGCCTGACCTTGCTTTATTTATTTTTTTTAAATTGTACTTGAACTGGGGTTGAATAAATTTGTCCAGCTTAACATGAAATTGTATTCATCTGAAAATAAAAAATAAAACTGGTAAACCTATTCATGTGGAGTGAAAAGAAGAGAACATAAAAGAAACATAAAACATCTCCCTTCTGGCATAAAAAATTCATTTTTTTAAATCAAAAGAAACCTACTTTTATATAAAAAAATAAAGAATTGAAAGTCTCAGAAGCAAGGACATTCACATTAAATGCCGGGGATATCTGCCTAGGGGAAGAAAAGGGGAAAGCATAAAAATGATGATATTTGTAGGTTTGAATTTTCTTATTTTTTTAGGTCTGAGGGTCAGACACATCCAGACATGAATGCAAGAGACAGGAATTAATGAATGTTTATCCTTTCAGGTTTTCATACTCTTGTGAAGTAAATAACTTCTCTTATACCTGGACTTGTATACCTAGAAAAAATAAAATGACTTTTTTGGGGAGATTCATCAAATCATTTATCCTAAACCAAGTAGAGTTCAATTGATTCAAATTTGGCTTCCTGGACCCCAAGGATCAATAGGACTAAGGTAACACTTCTACTTAGCCTGTTCTTTGCCTTTGAAATGCAGTGTTCTATGAATTCAGCATTCCCAGTTTCCCTCAACCAAAACTAAAAGAGATAGGCAAAAATTGCTTCTCCTTTGCTATTTTCTGTTACTTTTTAAACCTATTGCTTGCCATCATTAACAGATGCTCTTTGGATCAGACTGCTAGAGGTGTGGCATAAATCTATGTGGGTTAGGGAAGCTCAGAAATAGCTAAATAATTAGCTACAAAAATGCACTAATTTTGAGAAGGGATTTCTAGTTATTTTATTCATCATTTTTCCTTAGAGCATAGTTGGTGAAATATTATAGTAAAGACAAGACTCTTACAAACTCCAAACCTCATTTATTTCTAAATAGTCCTTTAAGGCATATATCTAACATTTAAAAGCTCAAAGTCTGTAAACTCAAAGTTCATTAGACACAATAGAGTTGAAACTAAAGGAAAATCCTCAGTCTAATTTTTCCCACATCAGGACCCTTTTAAGCTCAGCTGAACTTATCCTTCCTTTACAGAAGAGGAAAAAAATCCAACATGTAAAAAGATCAGATTGCAGTTTTTCAAGTTTCAGCCTAGAAGGAATTTTTAGCCTTTAGTTATAAATTCCAGAAAATAGGAGTTTATAAGGGAAACAGTGACAGAATCTTAATTACGGCAAAGAAAAGAGCAATGCTACAATAAAAAGGAACTACTCCTGAGATGAAATGCTTCATGTTTGAGTGAGATGTGGCATAATAACTTAAAAGGAGAGTGGTGCGATGATTCAGGTCCTCACCTGTAGCAGGCTGTTGTGTACCCTTCATGAAACTGACTGTCACCTTCACCTTCTTCCTTACAGACTAAACCTCACTTCACTCTGGACAAAGTCGGGAAAAATGTCATAAAGAACCAATTGTGGCAAGTTGCTTTTTGACAAAAGCTGTTTTCCAAAACATGTATCAGAGAATCAGTGACAGTGGGAAGGACAAGAAGGGCCCTCTGGTCCAAACTCCCTGTCTACAGCAGATAAAAGCTAAATCATCTGACAGAGCGGGAGGTGGGCCAACGTTCACGTTTTCAAGTGAAGGAAAGTTCACATGCTCCCTTAAAAACTCTGTGCTGGCTCTAAAGTCAAGAAGTTTGTTATGAGAAGCTCAATTCTTAGTTGCCCCAGTTTTACCCACTTAGCCTCATGCTATTCTCTGTCATCATGAAGTGCCTTCTGTAAATATACCTCGACCACTTGGAAAAATTTTTGAAACCCATCCTTAGCTCTCTCTATTTGTCAAATAACTTCAAATTCCTTAATATTTATTGGTACAGACAAAGGTCAATGTCCTAATTTTTTGTATTAGTTTAGCTTTGTTTTCCCCTGGAATCTTCTTGGCATGTCCATATTTCTCTTCCCATTACAATTCATCACTGTAACCCAAACATCTGATACCATGTCTAGCTCACAGTAGGCATCCAGTAATCATTTCTGAGAGAAAGAATAAATGTAAGGGACTACACAGTAGACACTTAAGTACACGTTAAACAACAAACCAATTTAAAAAAAAAGTATTTTCGTATTCCCAATAGTCATTTCCCAAGCTTCGGTTTTCTTGATTTAAATCGTATCTAAAATACAATGAATTCACTGTCTTTGTTGGTTTCAAAGTTACACTAATAATATGCAAAACATGGCATCTGTCTGGCAGCAGTATTATAACCCAGAGAAACCACATTTTATACCCAACAAACCAATGTTTTTAGAAAGCATATAAATTAGCAATGGTCATTGTTTGACCCATAGGAAAGCAAAGCGAACAGATGCAAAACAGTGCATTCGTTGGTAGGGATGGTATCTATGGTATCCCATTCTCACATAAATCAAAGTTCTAAAATTCTGAATATTTGCAGCAGGACTCCAAAGGCATGACTGAAATAGTTCTGGCTGCTCAGCTCCGGACACATACTGATCCCAAAATCTTACTAAAGAAATCTTGGAAGGACAAAGCCATAACCCACCATGTTTCAAATTCATACCTAGAAAATGAAATGATAAGAGAAAGCAGGAAATAGAGAAGCATCCAGGACACCATAGAAATGAAGACTTGCCCCTGATGGTTATTTCCCCCAAATAAAAGGAGACAACTCCTACACTTGTGATGTCTTGCAAAGGAAAGCTTCCGTCTGAGCCCACGGAGAGCTTTCTAACTAAGCACCAAAACTGAGCAACTCTCAAGAGTTTCTCCAGAAAAAAAATCTACTAGTGCTCTCCCAAGGGACAGATGTCTTCAGGCTAGCATTTGGGGAAACAAAAAGATATAAAGGTCACCTACAGTGTATCACCTATGGGTGCAACTCAGAAATGAAAGACACTGAATTCCCTTCCTATCTGAATCTGAGACAGTGAATAATTCTGGAAAGGAAAACACCACAAGGGTAATCTTGAGTTAGTTGACTACATGACTGCACACATCAACATGGCATTTTGCCTGATTCTACAGTTAGGAGCATTTGTTTTTATGTTCATGTCTCTCATATAGGATTTTACTTGGATATACTTTTATGTGATAGCTTTCAAATTTCCATTTGCATACTTTTTTGGAAACAGTGAAAGAAAGGGTAGTTTATTTCCAATTCTAGCCAAGCACTGACGCTTGGAAGAAAAGAGAGAAGAAGGGAAGGAAAAAGAAAGGAAGGAAGGGAGGGATAGAGAAAAGAAGGGAAGAAGGAAGGAAGAAAGGGAGGGAGGGAGGGAGGAAGCTTTTAATTTTTAACAAAATGTCATAGACAAACTATAAGTAGTCTTCCACTTGATTCTTTTATAGGGTAAAATGATTCTGACTGGAACAAGTTAACAGATGTTTGACATGTTCAAATGAAGACAGATGAAAAAAATTCAGACTTTCCATAATTGTTGTAAGCTAAAAGCCAGGATAAAATATGCCCAACTATTACTAAGGTAATCAACTTTCCAAGTTAGGTATAAAGATAGCGACAGACATGGAAACACACACACATATACATATATATGTATATACATAGAAATATCCATCTGTGTTTATGTATGAAACGTTTTCAGCAGGTGTACATTAAACAAGGCTTGCACCCAAAATACTGGATTCATGTCTGGTTAAAAAAAATTCAAATTTTGTGGGTTTTTTTAATATGCTTTGTACATTAAACTTACGATTTCCTGTAATAGACTTATTGTGCTATATAACACTGTATTTCAAAGTACAGCATGAAATCTTTCCATTTTGACCCAAAAGATATCAGCATTATATGGCCATTGATAAGAATAGAGACTTTGTGAAAGAGAACCTCAATGATTATTCTCTCTTTTTTTTTTAACAAGAATATTAATGACCATTTGGAGACAACAGCTATGGTCACAAATAATACTATGCTAGAGCAGCTATGTGGCTTAACTGAAAGCATACATAGTACTAAAAGCCTTGCTTTAAATAAAAATAAAGCATTGACCATATTATCTGACTTGATTAGAGCAATGATAGAATCCTCAGGATGAAACATGAAATCTGAGTGGGGTGTTGATAACATCATGTCCAAAAGCTTGAACCTGGATGAGATTCTGTAGACCAGCCACCTGCCATTCATGCTTCCCAACACCACTGTTCAAACTTGCTCAAAAGACTCTCATAGGCTTTAATCCTCAAAATCTTGAAAAGTAATCAGTGTGCCACAGGCATTAAAGCTATAAACTTCTTTTAACCTTTCCATTAAATACCAGGAACCTTAGTTTGATTCTGGCAGGTGACCTGGGTGAAGATTTTCATGTTCATTTGATGCACACACATTTTTGCATTCCACTGCTCGTGCTTGTTCACTGTTGGTAAATGCCAAACGCATCTGGGGAGAAGAGTTTTGAAAACAATTAGACAGCCTGAAAAGTCCCAACAATAAAACAGAACTCTTTACATTGCAAAGCCAAACAAATGACTCGGGCAAGTATAATTGAATAAATCCTGGGCTTCAGTGCAGATGGCTGTTTTTACTGTCTGTCTATGTCAGGATCTGCTGAAGGTTCTTTAGTTCGTGTGTGTGTGCACGTGTGTGTGTGTGTGTGTGTGTGTGTGTAGAAGGCTTTTTTATATGAGATTTGGCATATTGCATGTGGCAGGCTGTTGAAAAATGAATAAAGACAGGGGAAAAAAGGCAATGCACATCTCATTGGTAATGAAAGAAAGCAGGTTGCTGACTGCCCATGTGCCAGTTCTCCAGGTTTGCCCAGGGGCTCCCAAGATCATTTCTTTGCCCCCAGATTTTCATGTTGAATTACCACTCACAGTTTCTAAATGAACATGCTTCTTATTTTATTTAAGACACAGTGGGCACTTGTATTTGACTTCCTGCTAGGCAATACAATATTTAGCATTTGCTGCATACACAAATGGCAAAAGATAAAAAATGGCCTTATAAGCATAATTTCAAATTTGTTTCGTTTTTTTTCAAAGAGATATCTTTGCTCCAAGCTTTCAAGAGGCAGACATCAAGTGAAAAGCATTTGTTTTGTGCAGGTTTTGCCTGAGAAACTCTGACCAGAGAAGTCTATGAGGATTCATCAGGAGCTTTAGGCTATGGCCTCATGGCTTTGGCCTGAGGCAAAGCTGGGGGCTAAGGCCTTTTCATGTGGGGGGTAAAGAGTAAAGAAGGAACACATCATGTCTCGACTCTTACTGCTGTTCTAACTGGTACCCACAAGCCTCTCCTTCTAAAATGCAGCTCGCTGTTACCATGCTGCTGTTAAAATAGAAAGGAGCAGCATCATAACTTATTTGTGACCTACTTAGAAAAAATTCAAATTAGTCTACGATGGTCAAAAGGAATACACATTGAAAAGAACAAAAATGCTTTCCCTCAAAACGATAGCTAAAAGGACAGTAGAGAGTGAGATAAAGAAAAACGTTTTACTCTGAATACGTGAATGTCACACTTGGCATTGACCACCCATCTTTTTATGTGATTGTCTTTTTTCCTACCATTCATTTTAAATGTTTGGTCGAGAGGCAAGGCTTTGTATAATATAGTAATCATTTTTTTGAATAAAAGATTGTCATATCTAGATAATAAAATCCTATCTTTTTTTTTTATATTTCTTTTGTTCCAACAAGAACTGCAAAAATAATCTGCAAGCCTGCTTATTTGTTAAGTGCTTCTTAACTCATCTCTGACCCAAAGGATGCTCTTGTCAAAATCCAGGCCTATCAATAATTAATGATGTTTTTAACTTTTGATCTCCAGCCACAACTTTTTTTATTTTATTTTTTTTAGGGCCCAATTATGATTCTAACCACCTGCAAAACAGAGGGAGGGGACGCCTGACAAGTTTTCAGAGAAGGCTGTGACCTGTGAAAGCAGTAACAGCGTTCCCGGAATGTTTTTGTCTTTTTGTGTTTTTGCCCCTTTCTGACTGTCTTTGCCTCCATCCCCCAAGAGAAGAGTGGCTTTAATAACAACGGGGTGAGAGAATGAAAGCATTTAACACAATAACCACTCTAATATGATATTTTCAAGAAACTATGTGCTTCATTTTAAAGCCCACTCTTTGGGGAGGGAAAGATAAATTCCTAGAAAGCAATTGCTGAGAAATAGCCCATTGCCACTGTAAATGTACTCAGCCAAAGATAGTGGTGAGGGTGGGTTAGGAAGCTCTCTCTCAGCAACCCTGAATCTGAATCTTAAGACATATGGTATCCCATACAACTTTATTACTTAAAATGTTTTTTTCTAGTAAGAAAACTTCAGGTGTTCTGTGCGATTATCTTAAGTGCTTCTAGATTTGTGGTAAATTAAGTATATAAACTTTAAACAGTGCAGTTGTCTAAAGCAGCAGTAATCAGCCTTTTTGGTACCAGGGACAGGTTTCGTGGAAGACAACTTTTCCATGGACTGAGTGGAGAGGGGTGCGGGGATTGTTCCCAGATGAAACTGTTCCTTGTTCCACCTCAGATCATGAGGAATCAGTTAGGATTCTCATAAGGAGCGCTCAACGTAGATCCCTCACATGCGCAGTTCACAATAGGGTTCGTGCTCCTATGAGAAACTAATGCCGCCGCTGATCTGACAGGAGGCAGAGCCCAGGTGGGTGATGTGCATTCACCTCCTGCTGTGTGGCCCAGCTTCTAACGGGCCATGAACCTGTGCTGGTCAGCGGCCCGAGTGTTGGGTACCCCTGCTCTACAGCAATCACCTCCAGCAGGCAGGGAGATAATACAATAAAAAAGGGTGAAGGTAGAGGCACAATAGTGACCTGTTAACTATAGATTCAAACCTGAAGAGGCCACTGCTTTAAATGCTGCTAATATGGAACAATTAATATGTTTAATCTTAGGATTTTAGGTCTATAGCTCTAAATACTACAGGCAAGTTAGGCTAATTTTTAGTCTGCACACATATTCAGCTCAAATGCAATGAGGCCACTTTACCATTAGCAATTCCCCATGTTAAAAACAGTACTCTGGGCATGCCAATCATGGAATGGGGGAGTCATTTACATGTATCACTAAAGTAATTATTAACCACTCTTATGAGAGGTTATTTTTACTTACAATTCAAACATTGGTATACAGTTATGAAGTAGGATAGGAAGTAGGGTTGGAACTGAAGAGAAGACTGCATTTAGGATCCTCCAATCATCTGTAATTTTTCCAAAAATTTACTTGTAAAAATTGCCAAAAATACAGAAAAGTTGAAAGAACTATATAGTGTTCACCCAATTCATTGCCAAGATTCTACAATTAACATTTTGCTGTTTTTGATGTATTACATATCTACCCATTCATCTATCCTTCTATTTATGTATCAATCTCCCATATGTATTGATGTAATTTAGTTAGTTGCGGACATTAGTATATATCACCCCTAAACACTTCAGCATGCATATCATTAGCAGAGTTTAGTATAAGTTTAAGTTTCTTCTTTATTTCTAGGTAAAATTTATCTACTGTAAATAGCACAAATTTTAAATGTGTAATTCTGTTTTGAAAATTTATATATCTGGATAATCCAAACTGCTGTCAAGATATAGAAAATTAATATCACTCTAGAAATTTCTCTCATGTTCCTTCCCAATCTCCACTGCCAGCACCTCCAGAGGCAACAACTATGCTGATTGTTTTCATCATACATTTGTTTTGCCCATTCTAAAAGTGCACATAGATGAATTACTCAATAGGTACTCTGTGTAGAAAACTTCCTTTACTCAGCACAATGTTTTCAAGAATTTACCCATGTTGGCACTTACATCAGTTGTCTGTTCCTTACATTGTTGATTAGCATCCCAATTGTTTGAATATGCCACCATTTTGTTTCTGTCCTCTTGATGAATACTGGACTGTTTCCATTTTTTTACTATTATGAATAAAGCTTTAATGAACTTTGTTATAAAAACTCATTGATGTATACTTTAACATTTCTTAGATTGATTACCAGTAGTGGAGTTTCTGGGTCATAGGGTAAATGTATGTATAGTTTTATAATAAGTTGCTAGAAGTTTTCCCAAAGTGCTGTACCATTTTAAACTCCCACCAACAAGTATATGATGGGATCTCTAACCATTCCTTTATTAAGATTTTCAACCATTCCTGTGGGGGGAATATAATGAGATCTCATGGTGATTTTTATGTGTACTTTCCTGATGTCTAATGCTACTGAGCTCTTTTTCATGTGCTTATTGTTCCTTTGAGGAGGGTCTATTCTAATCTTGTGCCTGTTTTTAACCAGGTTGTTTGCATTTTTATTATTGAGTTGTAGGAGTTCTGTATATATTCTGAACAGAAATTGTTCATCAGAAATATGTTTTGCAAATATTTTTCCCCAGTCTTTGACTTGCCTATTTGTTTTCTCAATGATTACTTTTGATGAGTAGAAGATTTTAATTTTGATGAAGTCTAAATATGTTGTTTATTACCATTGCTTTTTGTGCCTGAAGATATTTGCCTATAAGCAAGATGCAAAGATTTTCATTTAATGGTTTTTTTATTTGTTTGTTGTTGAGACAGATTCTTCCTCTGTTGCCCAGGTTGGAGTGCAGTGGAACAATCTCAGCTCACTGCAACCTCCGCCTCCCAGGTTCAAGGGATTCTCCAGGTTCAAGTGATTCTCCTGCCTCAGCCTCCCAAGTAGCTGGGATTACAGGCACATGCCACCACACCCAGCTGATTTTGTATTTTTAGTAGAGACAGGGTTTCACCATGTTGGCCAGGCGGGTCTCAAACTCCAGACCTCAAGTGATCCTCCCACTTTGGCCTCCCAAAGTGCTGGGATTACAGGCATGAGCCACCACACCCAGCCTAATTTAATGGTTTGTTTGTTTTTTTTTTTAAAGAAACTTTATTATTTGAGCTTTTATGCCTAGGTCAGTGATCCAAATGATTAATTATTGTGTGTGATGAGAGATAAGGACAGAAGTTAGTCTCTCTATCTCTCTCCAAAACCATTTGTTGAAAAGGCAATCATTTCTCCACATACTGTCTTAGCCCCTTTGTGAAAATCTGTTGACCAGCTGACCATATATATGTGAGTTTTTTCCTGGACTTCATATTTTGTTTCACTGATATGAATGAATATATATATATATATACATATATATATATATATGTATATATATATATATGTATATATATATATACAGAGAGAAAGAGAGAGATGTGGAAAATATATATATATAAAACAAATGTATATATATATCCTTATATATATCCTTCAACACCACACTGTCTTGATTACTATAACTTTATAGGTATTCTTGAAATTAGATAGGATAAATCTTCCAACTTGCTCTTTTTAAAAATGGCTTTGCTTATTATAAGGTTTTTAGTTGAATTCTCATACATTTTAGAATTAGCTTGCCAATTTCCACAGGAATTTTGATTGAAATTGTTTTGAAACTTTAGGTCAATTTGGAAATAATTGATAACAATAGTAAGTCTTCCAATCCATGAATATATTATTTCTTTACATTTCTTTAGGCCTTTTATTTATCTTAGCAATG